>NW_015495301.1:0-205407 GCF_000001405.40 Homo sapiens
CTCCTACCTCAGCCTCCCAAGTAGCTGGGACTACAGGTGTACAACACCATGTCTGGCTAATTTTAAATTTTTTCAGAGATGGGGTCTTGCTATGTTACCCAGGCTGGTCTGGAGCTCCTGGACTCCTGCCTTAGCTTCCCCAAATCCTGGGGTTACAGGTGTGAGCCACCACACCAGGCCAGTGCTAGTTTCAATTTTCTTTGGAGGAACCTCAATACTGTTTTCTGTGTTTTACTAATTTGCATTCCCATCAATAGTGTATAAGGGTTTCCTTTTCTCCACATTCTCACCAACACTTATCTTTGGCCTTTTTGATAATAGCCATTTTGACAGGTGTGACCTGATATCTCATTGTGGTTTTGATTTGCATTTCTCTGAAGTTTAGAGATGTTGAGCACATTTTCATATACCTGTTAGCCATTTGAATTCCTTCTTTTGAGATATATTTATTTAGATTCTTTGCCTTAAAATAAAATTAGGTTATTTGTAATTTTGGAATTGATGTGTATGTGTCCTTATTTTTTGAACTCCTTATAAGAGATATGGTTTACAAACTTTTTCCCCATTTCATAGGTTGCCTTATCATTTCATTAGTTGTTTTCTTTGCTGTGCAGAAGCTTTTTAGTTTGATGTAATTCATTTACCTATTTTGCCTTTGTTGCCTGTGCTTTTGGCATCATATCTAAACAAATTATTGCCAAGACCAATGTCAAGAATGTTTTCTCCTGTCTTCTTCTAGGAGTTTTATGGTTTCAGGTATTGCATTTAAATGTTTAATCCATTTTGAGTTAATTTTTATGTATGATGTGAGCTAGGGATCCGATTTCATTGTTTTGCATGTGGACATCCAGCTTTCCTAACACCATTTGTTCAAGAGCATATCCTCCCCCTATTGTGTCTCCTTGTCACCCTCCAGGGTGATCAATTGCTGCAAATGTGTGGGTTATACCTAGGTTCTCTATTTTGTTCCACTGGTTTATGTGTCTGTTTTTATGCCAGTACCACAGTGTTTTCCTTTCTACAGCTTTGTAATTTAATTTGAAGTCAGGAAGTGTGATACCTGTAGCTTTGTTCTTGCTCAAAATTGCTTTGGCTACTCAGGGTTTTTTGTGATTCTATATGAATTTTAGGATTATTTTTTCTATTTCTGCGAGAGACACCATTGGGATTTTGATATGGATTACATTAAATGTGTAGATTGCTTTGAGTAATATGGACACTTTAATAATACAGTACTCACTCTTTCAATCCATGGGTTGTCTTTCAATTTACTTCAAATTTCCATCATCAATCTTTTGTAATTTGTAGTGTTTAAGTCTTTCACTTCTTTGGTTAGTTAATTCCAAAGTAGTTTATTTGATATTGTTTTTTAAATTTCCCTTTCAGACAATTCATTGTTAGTGTTTAGAAATAGCAATGATTTTTGTATGTCTATTGTATATCCTACAACTTTAATAAATTTATTATATAGTCAGTCCTTCATATTCATGGGTTCTGCAACCATGAACTCAACCAACCATGAACCAAACTTGTACATATTTTCCATCTGTGGTGGTTTGAATCCACAGATGTGGACCCATGGATACACAGGGCCAACTGTACATGATTTTACATGAGGGAGTTGATCATCACAGATTTTGTTATCTGAGGGGGTCCTGAAACAAATCCCTGGCAGATATGAAAGACTGACTGTATTATTTCTAACCAATTATTTCTAACCATTTTCTGTGGAGTCTTTAGAGTTTTCAATGTATAATAATCATGTCTTCTGTTAACAGAGATAACTACATCTTTCCTTTCAATTTTGATGCCTTTTATTTCTCTTGCCTGATTTCTCTGGCTAGGACTTCCAGTACTATGTTGAATAGGAGTGGTGAGAGTAGGCATCCTTGTCTTGTTCCAGATATTAAAGAAAAAGCTTTCATTTTTCCCCATTGATTATTATATTAGATACAGGTTTTTCATATACAGCCTTTATAGTGTTGAGGTAAGTTTCTTCTATACCTATTTTGTTGAGAGTTTTATCATGAAAGTATGTTGAATTTTGTCAAATGTGTTTTCTGCATCTATTGGAATGTTATTTTTGTCTTTCATTCTGTTAATGTGGTATATCACATTATTAATTTTTACACATTGAACCATCCTTGCATCCCATAGATAAATTCCAATTAGTAGTTTATTGAGAATTTTTGCATCTATATTCATTAAGGATACTGGTCTGTAATTATTTTTTCTTGTGTTGTTTTCATCTAGCTTTTAAGTCATGGTAACATTGGCCTCATGAAATGAGTTTGGGAGTATTCTCTCTTCTATTTTTTCTAAAGAGCTTAAGAAGTTTTGGTGTTAGTTCTTCTTTGACTGTTTGGTAGAAGTTGCCCATGAAAGCATCTGCACCTGGGCTTTTCTTTGTTGGGAAATTTTTTATTACTGATTGAATCTCTTTGCTTGCTTTTGGTCTGTTCTATTTCTTTTTTGTTCCAACTTGGTAGATTGCATCTTTCTAAGAATTTATCCATTTCTTCTAGGTTATCCAATTTATTGGCATATAATTGCTTAATTGTCCTTTATAATCATTTGTATTCCTGTACATTTGTTATAATGTCTCCATTTTCATTTCTGATTATATTTACTTGAGTCTCTCTTTTTTTCTTAATGTAGCTAGGGGTTTGTTATTTTTGTTTTTATTTCCAAAAATACAACTCTAGCTTTGTTGATTTTTATATTGTTTTTTATTTTAAAGTTATTTTATTTATATTCTAATCTTTATTATTTACTTCATTATGCTAACTTTGGGCTTAGTTAGTTCTTCTTTTTCTAACTGTTTATTTGTAAAGTTAGGTTGTTCAATTGAGATCTTTCTTATTTTTTAATGTAGGTGTTTATCACTATAACATTTCCCTCTTAGCACTTCTTTTGCTGCATCCTGTAAGTTTTGTTGAGTTGTATGTTCATTTTTGTTTGTCTCAAGATACTTTTAAAATTCCCTTTTGATTTCTCCTTTTACCCAATGGTTGTTCAAGAGTGTGTTGTTTAGTTTCTGCATTTTTGTAAATGTTTCTGTTTTCTTTGTTATTGATTTCTAATTTTATTCCATTGTGGTCTGAGAAGATACTTGGCATTATATCAAACTTCTTAAATTTGTAGGATGCCTTGTGACCTAAGATTTGATCTATCTCAGAGAATGTTCTGTGTGCACTTGAGAAGAATGTATATTCTGATGCTGTTGGATGGAAAGTTCTGTATATGTCAGTGTTTAATGTACCATGTTGTTCAAGTCAGCTGTTTCCTCTTTTTTTTCTTTTTTTTCCTGCCTAGATGTTCTATCCATTATTGCATTTGGGGTACTGAAGTTAGCTACTATTCTTTTATTGTTACTGATTTCTCCCCTTAGCTTTGTTGATATTAACTTTATATATTTAGGTGTTCTAATGTTGGGTGGATACATAATCTTCCTGTTGAAGCGAACTTTTATCATTACATAATGACCTTCTTAGTCTCTAGTGACAGTTTTTGATTTCAAGTCTATTTTTTCTGATCTAAGTATAGATACCCTTGCTCCTTTTTGGTTACCATTTGTGTAGAGTGTCTGTTCCCATCCCTTCACTTTGAGCCTCTATGTATCTTTATATCTAAAGTGACTCCCTTATAAATATGTACTGATGAGTATCTTTTATGCATTGTGCCACTCTATGTCTTTTAATTAGATAGTTTAATCCTTTCACATTTAAAGTCATTGTTGATAGGTAAGGAGTAACTTGCATTTTGTTAATTGTTTTTCATATGTTTTGCAGTTCTTTTTTTTTTCCTCTCTTGCTGTCTTCTTATGTTTGGTTATTTCTTGTAGTGGTTTGGTTTCTTTTCTTCTTCTTCACATTTTGTGTATCTCCTATAAGTTTTTAATTTGTGGTTGCAAATTAACATCTTCTATTAAAAGCTGTCTTAATGTTATCAGCTTTTTTGGAATCATTTTCTTTCTCTTCCCTCTTCAGACATATTTGCAAATAGTCTGTTTTTCAAGACACGAGTAAATAGGGCTCTGGTTAGAAATTTATCAATATGGAAAAAAAAAGATCCTCTGAGTCTTTTGATAAGTTAGAAAATAATGATAGACTGTGGCAGAATGTCATGTATTTCAAGTATTTCATCTGTGTTACTCTGCAATATATTTTCTGTGTGCATTTGTCAATGTTATATATTTATAAGGTAAATCCATAAAGCATACATTCTAGAATCTCCTAACTTAGGTCCTTAAGAGATATGCTCCTTATAACCTTCTTGGCACTCTTGAAGTGTTAAATATTTCCATTGAAGAAGGTTGCATATGGTTTCTGAGATGAAGTCTAGACAGGTTACGATTATTTTTTGTTCCTTTTGCCCACACAGCACCCACTGTCCCCTCCCTTTGTTATTAGCCTTTATCTGATACCCTAGATGAAGCCACCTTCTGTCCTTCAGTTTTGGCGTGGGGGCTGATTTCACCCCCAGTTTCAGGAATAAGCACAGGACAGCTACTAACAAGTATGTTGTTCACTCAAGGAAGAAACCCAGCTAAGGGAGAAAGGGGGGCTGAAATCCGGCCTACATGCTCTTCTCCAAGCCACATGCCCCGATACAGGGCTGCATCTAACTGCAGAAAGGGTAGCCATTTTCTAATACTTGCAAAGGCACTGTGTGGACAGTGCAAACTCTGTATGAGCTCATGACACAGGCCTGGCCAATAAATATACTTCTAATCCTGGCACAGATCAGACTAGAGACGGACATGAAATCCAAGCGTCACACCCAAAGTCAATCTCTAGTCTCTTATTGAGACTATTAGAAGTGTTTCTGTGTTTGCTTTATTCTGGGGCTGTGGAACTAAGGAAGTGTAAACTGGAGGAGTGATGATGGCCACATTGCAGAACAAAGGGAAAACTTGTCTGAGAATAAAGTCAATGGGGAAGAAAAAAGCAAGAAAGCTGAGAAGAGCTAAGTCCTGAGTCCCTACGTTCAGCCATTCTGAAGCTACACCCTGGATTTTTCCATTATACGAGTCCACAAATTAATATTTTTTTTTTGGCTTAGACCAGTTTGAGTTTGAATTCTATTATTTATAACCAAAGGAGTCCTACCATATTATCATAGCTGGATTTTCATAAACACGGTATATGTTGATCAACAAACTTCCTAGATGTTTCAAGTTCACTCCGAAGAGTGAGGGGAAAAAGAAAAGAAGGGAAGAAAATGGTTACTTATCATCCACAGTAGTCAAGGAAGCTACAGAAGCATCAAGCAAAAGCAGCGGAAGTTAGCTTTGTACTCCCACAAACCCTGCTCTGAAGTACTCCGCCTAGTGGCCCACAGCAGAAGCTGCATTTCTAAAATCTTTAAAAAGATAGAACAGGAATCACCACTTACCCTGGGAACCCTAATAGGTGAGCAGGCCACATGGGAATATGTCCCATTGGTTTGAGGTAGATAAGTCCATTTTCAAAGCGGTAGTAATTCCGGAAACAAGAACATATTAATTTTACTTTGATCACACAATGCCTAGTTATATTAAAAGTAAAGAGACATTCAATAAATACCTTTTATGGAAATAAAAACAGACAATTTAGGAGAGAATTAACTATCAATGCGTTATTTTCAAAGGTAAAGAAAAAAGAAATTATTCTGAATGCACAAAACTATTTTATCAAATATCATGGTAAATTATCATTATATACTAGGTCACTTAATAAATTTCCAGAGATGATTGTAAACAGTTTCCACAATAGATTTTGTTTCACCCCAGGAAGTTTCACAAAAAGTTAGTTACTTATCTCCATTGTTACTAGTGCCAACTAATCCTATCATTCTGAGTCAAATTAAAAATAACATCCACACTTTTCTCCAGTGAGATCACAGGAGATGCCTAAGTGGAGTGTGTTTTAATGTGAGGGGATAATTGGTTTATATTTTTCACTGACAATAACAAATAAATTCTAGACAACTTAAGCAAAATAGGAATTCAATGAAAGGATACTGAATAGTTCACAAAATCACTGAAGATGCTGGAGAAGCAAGGTAAGAGCTGAGGGAAACTTGGCACAGCCAAGTTCATCCTACGGAAGCAGATCTTGGGATGCCACAACTAGGATGTTGCCATTTGACACTCATCACCATGTAGCTGGGCTCTGCTGAACTTAGGCACTTCCTGCCACATTCCTGGACCTGCATCTCTGCTCAGTTGCTCAGAATCATCTCTGATTCTTTCAGGTCTTTTGCATCATTTCGTCGGGTTCCAAGTTCTAATAAAGAGACATCCATTGGCTGGGCCTAGATATGTGCCCACACTTGAGTGGCCAAGAAACTGGAAAAAGGATCATGCACTCCCTTTCAGCTTTTGTAATGGAAGGTGGGGCCTGTCCTCATACTTTGCTTGGGGTTCAAAAAACTAGGAAGGGTGTTTTGTTGAAATGAAACCCAAAACTATAGCTATCCATTTATAGCACCTTATTAGTACAGGAAAAAACCATGAGACAAAATGTATAAAAGTGCATGGGAGGTCTAAACATATGAGGGGGTTTCTGAGGAGAGGAAGATCATACTTGATTGGTGCTGTGGTTTCACTGTGCCTCCTCCGAGATTCAGCGTTGACAATGTGATAGTGTTGAGGTGGAGCCTACAGGAAGTGATTAGGCCATCAGGACTCCTACCTCAGGAATGGGTTTAGGAGCCCTCATGAAAGGGCTTCATGGAGGGAGTTCATTCCTCTTGCCCTCCCACCTTCCACCATGTGAGGACACAGTGTTCCTTGACTCTGGAGGATGCAGCATAAAGACACCATCTTGAAAGGAGAGAACAGCCCTTACCAAACATCAGACCTGCCAGCACCTTGATCTTGGACTTCCTAGTCTCCAGAACTGTGAGAGATAAATGTCTGGTTTTCATAAATTGCCTAGTCTCTGTTATTTCACTATAAGAGCATAAATTGACTAAGACAACTGGGGATTAGAAAAAGTAATATGAAGCGGCATTTGAGAAGGGCTTGATAGATAAGATCTCTACAAATAGAAATAGAGAGATGGTTTCACATCACCCAGGTGAAGGGAATAACATAGCCATGTTCAGTCTGAATGCAAAATGGAGATGGTAAAAAAAGTACATAGGATTCCACCACCAGTGGGAGGACAGAATTGCAATGTGGCAGCAATCTGTAAATTAAAATATTTATCACTCATTCCCATTTATTTAGAGTCTAATGTGTTCTAGGCTCTGAAATTAAGCAAAGAAAATCTAGATATGAGTAAGTCCAAGACTTTGCCTTTGTGACAGTCAAAATAATGACCCCATAAAGATGTTCTAGTCCCTGGAATCTGTGACCATATTACTTTACATGGGGCAAAATGGATTCTGTAGATGTGATTAATCCTTGAGTTAGGGGGATTATCCTTGATTATCTTGGGGGCCAATCTAATTGCATGTGTCTATAAAATCAGAGAATCTTTCCTAGCTGCAGTCAGAAGGTGACATGACCACAGAATATAAAATCAGAGAATCTTTCCTAGCTGCAGTCAGAAGGTGACATGACCACAGAACAATGGTCACAGATATCCCACATTACTGGCTTTGAAGATAGAGGGATGGTCCTATGATCCAAGGAATGGGGACAGCATCTACAAGTTGGAAAAGGAAATGGATTCTCTCTAGAGCCTCCAGAAAGCAATACAGCCCTGACAATACCTTGAGTTAAGCCCAGTAAGACCACGGTCAGAGGTTTGCCCTACAGAACTATAGGGTCGTAAGTCTTTGATTTAAGCCACAAAGTTGTGGTAATTTGTTATGGCAGCAATAGAAAATTGATTTTAAGGAGTTTATTGTTTGGAAGATAGGCAGACCAGAAAATCCAAATTATAATATAATTCGATTAAAACCTATGGAGATTTGGGCTAGGTGTTTTAGAAAAGAACTGAGTATTAACAAGACTAACAGAAGAAATTGTTCTAAAATTTACACACTAAGTACATCACATTTTTCTAATGATCACATTGATAGAGCAACTTAGAATCCATGCTTTCAACAAACCAACAGGCTTATATACATATATATATAATTTTATATATATATAATTTTATATATATATAATTTTATATATATAATATATAATATATGGAATAGCCCCACGGGCATGGGCAGCCCTGGGCCACAGGGCAGCACTGTACTAGCAGCCTACACCCCACCTTACCTGCCTACCCTGAGCTGACTTGTCTGCTAAATGCTAAATAAACCTGTCAACCTGTCGGGTTTAACTCAGAAGGGCCTGGATGCAACAAGCCTGAGGGCTGTGACTGGGGTAAGAGAGAGCACAGACGGAGCTCCTCCTCCTTCCACCACTGCCCACCAGCTGAAAACCACCAACTGAAGTTTGCTAAGATTCTCAGCCTACACCTTGTTCCCAACAAAACTCATGCAATACTTTGGCCCCCACTACAATCTCTTGAATAAAATATTCTACGGATCTGCTTTTTGAGCTGCAAGTTATCTTACTAAATTCCAAGAAGCTCATGTAAGAGAAAACCACCACATAATATAAGATTTTCAATGTGATCATCATTGCTACTTTTAACTAGAAAATATCCAGTAAATGTATTGTGAACTGCTTTGTGACTATGGTGATTTATTTAGTCTTTCTGATCCTTGGTTTGATTATCTCAAATATATAAGTATCACCAATTTTATAAAGTTGCTCTAAAAATTAAATGAGAGAAAAATAATTCTCCTTCTCCACATACTGAACACTTACAAAATTATAGGCATTGTGTCCAGGTTTTTACATACTTACCTGATGGAAGTCTCCTAACAACCCTCTCTTTTAAATTACAAGCATTTTGCCACGATTTTTACACATGTATGTTATGGAGGCCTCGCAACAATCACATCTTTTATAGGTGAGCAAACTGAGGCTCAGACGAGTTAAAAACACATTCACCATCAAATCATAATGAGGGACGGAACTGGGATTCAAATCCAGTTCTCTCTGATGCCAAAAATGGTGCAATTTAACAAGGACCAAGTTACACCCAGAACATGGAGGGATCATAACATGTGGATTCCCTTTTCTGCCCCCTCATGTGGGAATTTCAATAGCTTTCACTGCCTCAGAGCAATCCTAAACTCCCTCCCAGGTGCCTTGCAATGGCCCCCTTATTCGTGGGGGTGATTAGGAATCTGCATTTTTGGACCACGAGCATCCATAAACAGTTGTGTTGATCAAGAAATAAAATTTTCTAGGCCATAGGTTACTGTGAATTGTCTAGCTTCTCTGCAAAAAATAAAGGGGCTATTCCATGTAAAAAAATCACAGGATCCACTGAATTTGTGCAGAAAAACTTAGAACTATACCGCAGGAGGATCTTACTGACAGCTGTGCCTGAAGACCAGCCCAACCACACAAAGCAATAGCACCTCCAATGGCCAGGTGTGGTGGTTCTTGCCTGTCATCCCAACAGTGTGGGAGGCCAAGGTGGGTGAATCACTTAAGGCCAGGGGTTTGAGACCAGCTTGGGCAACACAGTGAGACCTTGTCCCTACAAAAAAATCATTTTTTATTATTAGAATCAAGAAGAGTACCTCTAACCCCCTGTCATTGCTTTAGGGTAGAGAGCTCTGGTCTAGAACTCAAGATATGAAATTGTGAATCCCAGTGTAGCTACTTAAGCTTAAATTCAAGAGCTGCCAGACATTTCCTCTACAGCAACGAAATCTGTAGCATCCATTTTGTATTTTGAAAACTTAGTTTTTGGCCAGCCTCTGGGAACAAAAGGACCCAGAATTGGGCATTTGGGTAGGGAGGGAAAAAGAAACCGGCTGGATGCAAAAGGGGAAGACGAAGGGGTGGGGACGCCAGGCAGAGCCAGTCCTCATGCTTGGGGCCTGGACCTAGGAAAGGAACTAGGTGAAGAAGGGAGGAGCCCCAGGCTGTGGATGTCTCTGGGGGAACCTTGGTTCAGCAATGGCCAGAGGAGGTCCTGAGGCCAAGCGGTATCTGTCGCCTCCTTACCTTTGGGTGTCTTCTGGTCGCCAATGTGCTGCAGGTCATGGCTCCGGAATCAAATTGGGCTCAAACGGGGCAAGCTCCAACACAGTGGAGCCTGGCGCTACTCCCACCTCCACCTTGCGGATCTCAGAGCTGCAGGATGGCTCTGCCCACCGCACCCTGAGCTGGCCCCGCTTGGGGCTGGCATTGGGGGACAGTGTGTTCTGGGCGTCTCTGCTCCTCTCTGCTGGTGCCTGTGCCTCTGCTGGCCGCCCACTCATAGATGTCAGAGCCACAGGACGGCCCCGCAGAATCCCTGCGCTGACCCTGCCGGGGGCTGGCTTTGGTGCACATGCAACTCGTCATCGTGGTCCCCATGGGGCACCTCTGCTCTTCTCGAGGCAGCTTGGGCCTTCGCTTGCCCCCACGTCTGCAGAGCTGAGCACCTGCCACCTCTCCCCAGGAAAGGCAACCAAATGCCACCAACTTAAGGCACCCACTGAAGGCACTAACTGAAGGCCACCAACGGAAGGCCGGTTGCCCTGCCAGCCAGATCGCGTACTGCTTAGGAAGAACCAATCAGGCCTTGAGTTCCCTCCACGTGCTGCCCTTCCATTTGTGATGTGGAAGTCCAGGCACTGGCTCACAAAACCGCGCCCCCCAGTGATGCCGCCCCACCTTTCATTTATTGGTAGCTGGTAGCAACTTTCAGGTTTCCTCACTGTGAATTATGAATATGAATTATGATTAAATTACTGTATGCTAATGTACCTCATGCACTATCTGACAGTCAAAGTCCCCTCTTCCCCCATGGCCTCTGAGTTTTTTGGAAACTAGAAAGAAGACACATTTCTGCAGGTGCTTTCAGAAAAAAACATTGCCACGACCTAATGTTACTCTGTGACGTCAAGTCATATTTCATATATCATACATATTCATATTTATATTCATAATTCAAAATGCACATATTCAATCAAATTAACAGGACTAACAAAGGAAATTTTCTAAAACTTATACACTAAGTACATTATATTTTTCTAATGATCACTTTAATAGAGCAACTTAGAATCTATGGTTTGAACAAATGAAGAGGCTTATGCAAGAGAAAACCACCACCTAACACAAGATTTTCAATGTGATCATCATTGCTACTTTTCACTAGCAATTGTCCAGTCAATATATTGTGAACTGCTTTGTGACTATGGTGATTTATTTAAACTTACTGATCCTTTATCTCAAAAATATGAATAATACCAATTTTATAAACTTGTTCTAAAAATTAAATGAGAGAAAAATAATCCTCCTTCTCTATATATTGAAAACCTACAAAATTAATAACATTGTGTCCAGATTTTTACACACTTACCTTATTGAAGCCTCATCACAACCCCGTCTATTAAATTATAGGCATTATTCCCAGATTTTTATACACTTACCTTATGCAAGCCTCGTAACAATCCCATCTTTTATAGATGAGCAAACTGAGGCTCAGACGAGTTAAAAACACATTGACCATCAAATCATAGTGAGTGATGGAACTGGGATTCAAATCCAGTTCTCTCTGACACCAAAGGTGGTGCAATGTAATGAAGACCAAGTTATATCCAGCACATGGAGGGACCAAAACATGTGAATTCCCTTTCTCTACCCTCTTACGTGTGAATTTCAATGGCTTTCACTGCCTCAGAACCATCCCAAACTCCCTCCCAGGTTGCCTTGCAGTGGATCCTTTCTTCTTGGGGATGATTAGGAATCCGCATTTTTGGACCACAGGCATCTATAAAGAGTTGTGTTGATCAAGAAATAAAATTGTCTAGGCCATAAGTTACTGTGAATTGTCTAGCTTCTCTGCAATAAATAAAGGGGCTATTCTCTTTATTTTTTATTATTCCACTATTCACAATAGCCTAGAATCAACCTAAGTGTCCAAGAAGACTCGGTTTAACCCTGGGGATTACTAATGTTTTCATTGTGGTCAATGTGGTAGATTATATTACCATTCTCCCATTATCTGGTCTTCCTACTGCAGTGGCCCTATCTCCTAGAAGATTATACATTTCTGTCCTATTGAAGTAAGGGTCAGATTTAGACATGTGACCGGTTTGGCCAGTGAAATGTAGGTAGAAGTGGCATGTGTAACTTGTTAGCAGAAAATTTCCTTTTTCAAGGATCTGGGAGCCATCCCTTTCAAATGTAATCCTCCAGAAAGATAATACCTTATTTCCCAGTCTCTATGAGAGAGTAAGAGCCTAATCTTGCTCCAAGTTGTAAAAATTACCTTATATTATAAAGATAAAAGAAAGTTTATTTTTCCTTTGAGAAAAGACAGTTAGCAAAGACAGGTGGCCTATGATCACCCCCTTACTCTCGCTTTCAAAAACTCCACTGCCCTTTGTATCAGGGGAGCTGAGTTCAGACTAGGTTCTGGCCTCTCTCCCCTGTTGAATAATATCTTCCTTACTTATTTAACTTTTTCCAGTGCAATTTTTTCTTTGACTCTTTCCTCCCTCTCTGAAACTTGCATTGAAATTTTAGTAGGATACAAGGCAGGCAATCTCGACCCTTGAATATATAAAAGAACCCTTTAGGATTAAAAAACCCATGTTCTCTTCCATAAGTTATTTCTTCAGACTATTGCCTTATTAAAAGTTTCTAGTTCTTATTTTTGCATTGAAAAGGAGAATGATGATTTTTAAATAAGTTCCTACTCACTTTTAATTTCTACTATCACAATTTTATTGCTTTTCATGGCAATAGATTTCTCTGGTTCAACAAGAAGGCCAGAACAAGGAAGTACAGAAACATCTCAATATATCTTAAAAAGTTATTTAACATGGACAGTGTCATTTAATATCTTTAACATCCCTATCAAATGGATGCTATTATTATCCCCCTTTTACAGGATATTAAAACTTACATACTGTAAATAACCAGCTGAAAGTCATATAGCATGGAAAATACAATAAGCATACAAAGAAGCAATGGCATTAGAAGTGGAGGAGAGTTAAGGATTAAAAGGCTAAACTTAGTTTGGTTAAGAAAAAAGAAAACTAGGAGGTGGCAAACTCTTGTTGGAAAGGGGAAGGATTTGGGCAGAGCAAGGTAGTGGAGTCGATCTCTCCAGTAATCTTACCCCTACGGACACATCTATATGAACAACTATCCACATATAAAATTACCTTTACAAGAGCTAACGAACCCTGAATACATGAGTCAGTCTATGAAGCCCCTTTGGACTGCAAAGAGTAGAACCATGCTTGGACAGTAAGGGAACCAGTACTCTGTGACTGTGATACTCCTCCCCCAGGCCATAATGGTATTATATGCAGAAAGTCCTCCTTACAGTTCTTACACTGAATAAAGTGAGCAGAAGTTGAATATTTTTTTCCACCATACTGAGTCCCTTCACAGTAGACTCCTGCATCAGCCCACAAGCAGCACCATGAGTGTCAACAGAGCTGAACCGCCCGAGGCATGCTAGGGACATAGAGAAGGGGTTGGGTTAGCAATACTCATTATATGAAACTTAGCAGTGGCTAGCCATTCCTACCAGAGGAAACACTACACCAGAGAGGTTGTTTATGGGCACCATGCTGTGGGAAACATGATACACAGACTGTCCAGATTTGATAGCCTGACTTGTTCTCCCCCACAGCCAGGAGCCTTTCTGTGGATCACCCATGGGCCCATTCAGTTACATTGCATCAGTGGTGAAGCCCCATTGTGAGACTTATGTCTAACCTTTGCTTTGGGCACCTCCTAATGCTAAAATGGAATATAATGGAAATCCACACCGAATTTCTAAACAAGCCCACTGAGAAACAGTCAAAAACAAACCCAGACTGAGAAGACTGAAATAAATATTTAATTCATCAATGTGTAGACAGAGATATACATCTACAAAAAATAAGAATAGCCTAGGAAAAACTGCCTCACCAAATGGAGAAAATAAGGTGTCAGCAACTGAACCTAAAGACATGCAAATGAATGATGTGGCAGACAAAAAAAATTCAAATAGCTGATTTTAAAAAAAAAATCGGTGAACTTCAACAAAGTACAGAGAAACAATATGGAAATTTATAAGAAATTCAACAAAGAATTTAAAATAATGGGAAAAAATCAAGTGGAAATCCTGGAGTTGGAAAGTTCAGTAAACAAATTGAAAAATGCACTAGAGGGCATCAAAAGCAGAACTGATCAAGTAGAAGAAAAAAACAGTGAGCTCAAAGACAGGCTCTTTGAAAATACACTGTCAAGAGTAGAAAAGAGAAAAAAATGAGAAGAAACAAAGAAAACTTATGAGATCCATGGGACACCATCAAAAAAAAAAAATCTACAGTGTTAAAGTGGAACTGAGAATGAAAAAGAGTTAGAAAATTATTCAGAGAAATAACAGAAAACTTTTTAAACTTAGAGAAACATTAAGATGTTTAGGATGGCCAAAGCGCACTAATCTGATTTAATCTGAATAAGACAACCACAAGATATATTATAATTGAACTTTCAAAGGTCAAAAACAAAGAGTAGGTCCTGAAAGCACTAAGAAAAAGGAAGCATATAATACATAATGTGCCTGGCAGCAGACTTCTCAGCAGAAGCAATGTGGGCCAGGAGAGAGTAGGATAATAGAATCAAGTGCTGAAGAAAAAAACTGTCAACCATGAATGTAGTATCCAGAACAGCTCTCATTTGAAATGAAGGAGAGATTAAAACGTTCTAAGACAAACAAAAGATGAAGGAATTCATTGTAACCATACCTGCCTTAAAAAAAATGTTAAAGAACCGTCTTCAAAGTGAAAGAAAAGGGCACTAATATGTAATGCAAAAAATTGGAAGGTATAAATCCACAGGTAAAAATAAATATTCAGACAAATTCAGAATGCTCTAATATAGTAATAATTGAATGTAAACCACTTACATATTTTTAGTAAGAAGGTTAAAATACAAAACAAAAATAATAACAACTACAATAATTTGTTAAGGGATAAGTGATATAAAAGATGTAAATTCAGACATCAAAAATGCAAAATGTGGGGGAGTGATTGAGTTAAAGAGCAGAGTGATTGTTTTTCCCCATTTCTTATTATCAAAATTAAGTTGTTATCCATTCAAATTACCTGTTGAAACCATAAAATATTCTTCACATGCCTCATAGAAACCAAAAGGCAAAAATATTTAATAGATACACTAAAAATAAAAGAACAAGAAACAAAAACACACAGAAAAAATCACTTAACTACAAAGGAAGACAATAAAGGAACAAAAAGGTACAAAAATTCTAAAAGACAACAAGAAAACCACGTACGGCAGTACAAGTCCTTATCTATCAATAATTACCTTGAATGTAAATAGATTAAATTATCCAGTAAGAAGACAGAGAATGGGTAAATGGATTAAAAACAAGACCTAACTATATTCTTTCTACAAGAGACTCCCATCACCTTTAAATACACGCATAAATTGAAAGTGATCAGATGGAAAAATATATTTTACGACAATGGAAATCAAAAGAATGCAGGAGTAGGTATATTTATATCAAATAAAATATACTTCAAGTAAAAAAACTATAAACACAGACAAACAAGGCCATTATGTAATAATAAAGGGGTCAGTACAACAAGAGAATACAATAATTGTAAATACATAATGCACTCAACATTGGAGAACCTAAATATATAAAGCAAACATTAATAGTTCTAAAAGGAGAGACAAAAAACTGTGCAATAATAGTAAAAAACCTTGACATCCCATTTTCAGTAATGAACAGATCATTGAGAGAGAATGTCAACAAGGAAACATTTAAACTGCACTCTAGGTCAAAAGAATTTAACAGTTATTTACATAACATTTCATCCAACAATTGAATAATTCAGTCTTTTCATCTGCACATGGAATATTGTCCATGATAGATATGTTAGACCACAAAACAAGTCTTAGCTAATCAAAAAATCAAATCATATCACATATTTTTTCTGACCATATGGAATAAAGCTAGAAATAAACAATAAGAGAAACTTCAGAAATTGTGCAAATACATATAAATTAAACAATATATCCCTAAACAACCAACGGGTCAATGAAAAAAAAAATTTTTTTAAATGTCTTAAGACAAATAAAAATGAAATCAGAACATATGAAAACTTATGAGATACAGCAAAACAGTCCTTAGAGGGAAGTTTATAGCAATACATTTCTACATCAATAAAGAAGAAAGATAATGAATAAACCCTCTAATTATGTATTTCAAGGAACTATAAAATCAAGAACAAACTAAGACCCAAATTAGCAAAAGAATATAAAGATCAGAGCACAAATATACAAAATGAAGACAAAAAATACAAATGATTAATTAAAGAATCTTTTTTGAAAAGGTAAAAT
The DNA here is from genome assembly GCF_000001405.40 of Homo sapiens. Classification (NCBI taxonomy): domain Eukaryota; kingdom Metazoa; phylum Chordata; class Mammalia; order Primates; family Hominidae; genus Homo; species Homo sapiens. Next base: position 16,376 of record NW_015495301.1, read on the forward strand.
TGACAAACGTTTTGTCAGACTAAGAAAAAAAGAGAAAATTCACATAAAGTCAGAAATGAAAAAGGATATGCTATGATGGACACTACAGAAATACAAGGAATCATGAGTAAGTACTACAAACAATTATACACCAATAAATTGAAAAACTTAGAAGAAATACATATGCTCTGGACACATATAACCTATCAAAATTGAAGATAGAAGAAATGGAAAATGTGAACACACCAATGACAAATAATGAGATTGAAGGAGTGATTTAGTCTGTCAGTCAAGGAAAATCCAAAAGACTTCACACAGTAGCTCCCACCTGTAATCTCACATTTTAGGATCCCAAGGCAGGAGAATCACTAGAGGCCAGGAGTTCAAGATTAGCCTGGGCAACACAACGGGACTCCATCTCTAAAAATAAAAATAAAAATTCCCCAGGTATAGTGGTGTGTACTTATACTCAGGAGGCTGAGGCAGGAGGATCACTTAAGACCAGGAGTTTGAGGCTGCAGTCAGCTACGACTGCACCACTGTATGCCAGCCTCAGTGATAGAGTGAGACTCTGTCTCTAAAAAAATAGAAGAAGAAAGAAAAGTTCATGACTTGATGGTTTTCACTGACAAATTCTACAAAATATTTTAAAAACTTATACAGATTATTTACAAACTATTTCAAAAAAATGAAAAGGAGGGAACTCTTGCAAACTCATTCTATGAAGACAGCATTACCTGAATCCAAAATGAGACAAGAACAGCAAATAAAACTCCAGGCCAATATCATTGATAAACATACATGCAAACATTCAAAACCAGCAGTGCTAGCAATGATAATTCAAAAGCACATTAAAAAGATTATTCACCATAATCAAGTGGTATTTACCCGGGGAGGTAAGGATGGTCTAACACATGTAAATCAATAACTGTGATACATCACATTAAACAATGAAGGATAAAAAACATATAATCATTTCAATAGATGCAGAAAAAGCATATGACAAAATTAGACATCCTTTTATGATCAAATCTTTTGACAAATTAGTTATAAAAGAACATAATAAAATAAAGACCATATGTGATAACCCACAGGCAACATTATACTGAATGGTGAAAAGTTGAAAGCTTTGCCTCTAGGATCTGGAACAAGACAAGGATGTTCACTTTAATCACTTTTTTCAACATAGTACTGGAAGTCCTAGTCAGAACAATTAGGTAAGAGAAAGAAATAAAAGGCATCCAAATTGGAAAAAAAAGTCTAATTGTCCCTCTTTGCAGATGACATGATCATATATGTAAAAAACCCTAAATACCCCACTGAGAATCAGAAATAGTAAATGAATACAATAAGGTTTCAAGATACAAAAGCAACATAAAAAATCAGTAACATCTCTATTCACCAATAGCAGACTATCTGAAAAAGGAATCAAGAAAGTAATCCCATTTAAAATAGCTATTAAAAAAAACAAAATACCTACAAGCAAATTAAGCCACGGAAAGATGAAAATTATTAAACATTGATAAAAGCAATTGAAAAAAATTAAAATAAATAGAAAGATACCCCATATTCATGGACTAGAAGAATTAATATTGTTGAAATGACCACACTACTCAAATCAATCTATAGATCCAATATAATCTCTATCAAATTTCCAATTTCATTCTTCACAGATATTAAAAAAGATCTTAAAATCCATGTGAAACTACAAAACACCCCAAATAGCCAAATAAATCTTAAGCAAAAAGAGCAATGCTAGAGGTATTACACTATCTAATTTCAAAATGTATTGCAAAGCTATCCTAACTAAAACGCATGGTATTGGCATAAAAACAGGGACACAGACCAGTGGAACAAAAATAGAGAGCCCAGGCATAAATCCACACGTTTACATGCAACTTATTTTTGACAAAGATGCAAACATTCAATGGGGAAAAGACAGTATTTTCAACAAATGGTGCTGGGAAAAGTGGATATCCCCATACAAAAGAATGAAAGTAGACCCCTATCTCTCATCATATCCAAAAACCAACTCAAAATAAATTAAATATTTAAATGTAAGACCCCAAACTATGAAACTAGTAGAAGAAAACATAGGTGAAATGTTATATGTCATTGGTCTGGGCAAGGACTTTTTAGAAAAGACATCGAAAGACATGCACAACAAAAGCAAAAATAAACAAATGGGATTACACCAAATAAAAACTTCTGCACTGCATAGGAAACAATCACAAGAGTAAGCAGACAACCTACAAAATGGGAGAAAATATCTGCAAACTATTCACTTGATAAGGGGTTAATATCCCAAATTTATAGAAAACTCAAACAACTCAATAGCAAAAATACAAATAATTGGATTAGAAAATAGTCAAGAGAGCTGAATAGACATTTCTCCAAATAAGACATAAAAATCACCAACAGGTATATGAAAAAAATGCTCACCATCACTAATAATCAGAGAAATGCAAGTCAAACCTGTCAGGCCTCTGGGCCCAAGCTAAGCCATCATATCCCCTGTGACCTGCACGTACACATCCAGATGGTTGGTTCCTGCCTTAACTGATGACATTCCACCACAAAAGAAGTGAAAATGGCCTGTTCCTACCTTAACTGATGACAATATCTTGTGAAATTCCTTCTCCTGGCTCAAAAGCTCCCCTACTGAGCACCTTGTGATCCCCACTCCTGCCCACCAGAGAACAACCCCCCTTTTTCCTTTACCTACCCAAATCCTATAAAATGGCCCCACCCCTATCTTCTTTCACTGGCTCTCTTTTCGGACTCAGCCCACCTGTACCCAGGTGAAATAAACAGCTTTATTGCTCACACAAAGCCTGTTTGATGGTCTCTTCACATGGACGCGAGTGAAATTTGGTACCGTGACTCAGATCGGGGGACCTCCCTTAGGAGATCAATCCCCTGTCCTCCTGTTCTTTGCTCCGTGAGAAAGATCCACCTATAACCTCAGGTCCTCAGACCAACCAGCCCAAGAAACATCTCACCAATTTCAAATCCGGTAAGTAGCCTCTTTTTACTCTCTTCTCCAACCTCCCTCACTATCCCTCAACCTCTTTCTCCTTTCAATCTTGGTGCCACACTTCAATCTCTCTCTTCTCTTAATTTCAATTCATTTCATTTTCTGGTAGAGACAAAGGAGACACGTTTTATCCATGGACCCAAAACCCTGGTGCTGGTCACAGACTAGGGAAGGCAGCCTTCCATTGGTGTTTAATCATTGCAGGGACGCCTCTCTGATTATTCACCCAGGTTTCAGAGGTGTCAGACCACACAGGGATGCCTGCCTTGGTCTTTCACCCTTAGTGGCAAGTCCCACTTTTCTGGGGGAGGGGCAAGAACCCCAATCCCTTCTCTCCATGTCTCTACCCCTTCTCCACTTTTCTGGGGGAGGGGAAAGAACCCCTCAACCCCTTCTCCTTCACCCTTAATGGCAAGTTCTGCTTTTCTGGAGGAGGGGCAGGAACCCCAACCTCTTATCTCTGTGCCCCGATCCCTTATTTCCGTGCCCCGACCTCTTATCTCTGTGCCCCAGCTCCTTATTTCCACGCCCCAACCCCTTCTCTGCTTTTCTGGAGGGCAAGAACCCCCCACCCCTTCTCCGTGTCTCTACTCTCTTTTCTCTAGGCTTGCCTCCTTCACTATGGGAAAGCTTCCACCTTCCATTCCTCCTTCTCCCTTAGCCTGTGTTCTTGAGAACTTAAAACCTCTTCAACTCTCACCTGACCTAAAATCTAAGCATCTTGCATCTTATTTTCTTCTGCAATGCCACTTGACACCAATACAAACTCAACAGTAGTTCCAAATAGCTGGAAAACGGCACTTTCAATTTTTCCATCCTACAAGATCTAAATAATTCTTGTCATAAAATAGACAAACGGTCTGAGGTGCCTGATGTCCAGGCATTCTTTTACACATCAGTCCCTCCCTAGTCTCTGTTCCCAATGTAACTCATCCCAAATCTTCCTTCTTTCCCTCCCACCTGTCCCCTCAGTCCCAACCCCAAGCATTGCTGAGTCTTTCTAATCTTCCTTTTCTACAGACCCATCTGACCTCTCCCCTCCTCACCAGGCTGAGCTAGGTCCCAATTCTTCCTCAGCCTCTGCTCCTCCACCCTATAATCCTTTTATCACCTCGCCTCCTCACACCCGGTCTGGCTTTCAGTTTCATTCTGTGACTAGCCCTCCCCCACCTGCCCAGCAATTTACTCTTAAAAAGGTGGCTGGAGCTAAAGGCATAGTCAAGGTTAATGCTCCTTTTTCTTTATCCCAAATCAGATAGCGTTTAGGCTCTTTTTCATCAAATATAAAAATCCAGCCCAGTTCATGGCTCGTTTGGCAGCAACCCTGAGATGTTTTACAGCCCTAAGAGCCTAAAAGATCAAAAGGCCGTCTTATTCTCAACATACATTTTATTACCCAATCTGCTCCCGACATTAAATAAAACTCCTAAAATGAAATTCTGGCCCTGAAACCCCACAACAGGACTTAATTAACCTCACCTTCAAGGTGTACAATAATAGAGTAGAGGCAGCCAAGTAGCAACATATTTCTGAGTTGCAATTCTTTCCCTCCACTGTGAGACAAACCCCAGCCACATCTCCAGCACACAAGAACTTCCAAATGCCTAAACCGCAGTGGCCATGCATTCCTACAGAACCGCCCCCACTAGGAGCTTGCTACAAGTGCCAGAAATCTGGCCACCAGGCCAAGAAATGCCCACAGCCCTAAGCCATGTCCTCCTAAGCCATGTCCCATCTGTGCAGGACCCCATTGGAAATTGGACTGTCCAACTCACCTGGCAGCCACTCCCAGAGCCCCTGGAACTCTGGCTCAAGGCTGTCTGACTGACTCCTTCCCAGATCTTCTTGGCTTAGCGGCTGAAGACTGACACTGCCTGATCACCTCGGAAGCCCCACAGACCATCACAGATGCTGAGCTTTAGGTAACTCTCACAGTGGAAGGTAAGTCCATCCCCTTCTTAATCAATATGGAGGCTACCCACTCCACATTACCTTCTTTTCAAGGGCCTGTTTCCCTTGCCTCCATAACTGTTGTAAGTATTGACAGCCAGGCTTCTAAACCTCTTAAAACTCCCCAACTCTGGTGCCAATTTAGACAATACTCTTTTAAGCACTCCTTTTTAGTTATCCCCACCTGCCCAGTTCTCTTATTAGGCCGAGACACTTTAACTAAATTATCTGCTTCCCTGACTATTCCTGGACTACAGCTACATCTCATTTCTGCCCTTCTTCCCAATCCAAAGCCTCCTTTGCATCCTCCTCTTGTATCCCCCGACCTTAACCCACAAGTATAAGATACCTCTACTCGCTCCTTGGCAACTCATCATGCACCCCTTACCATCTCATTAAAACCTAATCACCCTTACCCCTCTCAATGCCAATATCCCATCCCACAGCATGCTTTGAAAGGATTAAAGCCTGTTATCACTCGCCTGCTACAGCATGGCCTTTTAAAGCCTATAAACTCTCCTTACAATTCCCCCATTTTACCTGTCCTAAAGCCAGACAAGCCTTACAAGTTAGTTCAGGATCTATGCCTTATCAACCAAATTGTTTTGCCTATGAACCCCATGGTGCCAAACCCATATACTCTCCTATCCTCAATACCTCCCTCCACAATCCATTAGTCTGTTCTGGATCTCAAACATGCTTTCTTTACTATTCCTTTTCACCCTTCATCCCAGCCTTCTTCACTTTCACTTGGACTGACCCTGACACCCATCAGGCTCAGCAAATTACCTAGGCTGTACTGCTGTAAAGCTTCACAGACAGCCTCCATTACTTCAGTCAAGCCCACATTTCTTCCTTATCCGTTACCCATCTCAGCATAATTCTCATAAAAACACATGTGCTATCCCTGCCAATCATGTCTGACCAATCTCTCAAACCCCAAACCCTTCTACAAAACAACAACTCCTTTCCTTCCTGGGCATGGTTAGATACTTTCGCCTTTAGATACCTGGTTTTGCCATCCTAACAAAACCATTACATAAACTCACAAAAGGAAACCTACATGACCCCATAGATCCTAAATCCTTTCCCCACTCCTCTTTCTGTTCCTTGAAGACAGCTTTAGAGACTGCCCCCACTCTAGCTCTCCCTGACTCATCCCAACCCTTTTCATTACACACAGCTGAAGTGCAGGGCTGTGCAGTCAGAATTCTTACACAAGGACTGGGATCGCGTCCTGTAGCCTTTTTGTCCAAACAACTTGACCTTACTGTTTTAGACTGGCCATCATGTCTCCATGCAGCGGCTGCTGCCACCCTAATACTTTTAGAGGCCCTTAAAATCACAAACTATGCTCAACTCACTCTCTACAGCTCTCATAATTTCCAAGATCTATTTTCTTCCTCACACCTGACGCATATACTTTCTGCTTCCCAGCTCCTTCAGCTGTACTCACTCTTTGTTGAGTCTCCCACAATTACCATTTTTCCTGGCCCAACTTCAATCTGGCCTCCCACATTATTTCTGATACCACACCTGACCCCCATGACTGCATCTCTCTGATCCACCTGACATTCACTCCATTTCCCCACATTTCCTTCTTCCCTGTTTCTCACCCTGATCACACTTGGTTTATTGATGGCAGTTCCACCAGGCCTAATCACCACACACCAGCAAAGGCAGGCTATGCTATAGTACAAGCCACTAACCCGCCTCTTAGAACCTCTCATTTCCTTTCCATCGTGGAAATCTATCCTCAAGGAAATAACTTCTCAGTGTTCCATCTGCTATTCTACTACTCCTCAGGGATTATTCAGGCCCTCTCCCTTCCCTACACATCAAGTTCAAGGATTTGCTCCTGCCCAGGACAGGCAAATTTGCTATTCTACTACTTCTCAGGGATTATTCAGGCCCCCTCCCTTCCCTACACATCAAGCTTAAGGATTTGACCCCACCCAGGACTGGCAAATTAGCTTTACTCAACATGCCCCGAGTCAGGAAACTAAAATACCTCTTGGTCTAGGTAAGACACTTTCACTAGATAGGTAAAGGCCTTTTCCACAGGGTCGAAGAAGGCCACCACGGTCATTTCCTCCCTTCTGTCAGACATAATTCCTTGGTTTGGCTTCCCACCTCTATACAGTCTGATAGCAGACCGGCCTTTATTAGTCAAATCAGCCAAGCATTTTTTCAGGCTCTTAGTATTCAGTGAAACCTTTATATCCCTTACAGTCCTCAGTCTTCAGGAAAAGTAGAACAGACTAATAGTCTTTTAAAAACACACCTCACCAAGCTCAGCCACTAACTTAAAAAGGACTGGACAATACTTTTACCACTTTCCCTTCTCAGAATTCAGGCCTGTCCTCAGAATACTACAAGGTATAGCCCATTTGAGCTCCTGTATAGACGCTCCTTTTTATTAGGCCCCAGTCTCATTCCAGACACCAGATCAACTTGGACTATGCCCCAAAAAACTTGTCATCCCTACTATCTTCTGTCTACTCATACTCCTATTCACCATTCTCAACTACTCATACATGCCCTGCTCTTGTTTACACTGCCAGTTTACACTGTTTCTCCAAGCCATCACAGCTGATATCTCCTGGTGCTACCCTCAAACCGTCACTCTTAACTCTTAAAGTAAATAAAAAATCTTTGCTGGCAAAGCTATGCTGAACCTCCTTAGGCACTCTCTAATTAGATGTCCTAGGTCCTCCCAATTGTTAGTCCTTTAATACCTGTTTTTCTCCTTGTCTTATTCCGTTTAGTTTTTCAATTCATACAAAACTGTATCCAGGCCATCGCCAATAATTCTAAATGACAAATGTTTCCTCTAACAACCCCACAATATCACCCCTTACCACAAAATCTTCCTTCAGCTTAATCTCTCCCACTCTAAGTTCCCACGCCGCCCCTAATCCCGCTCGAAGCAGCCCTGAGAAACATCACCCATTATCTCTCCATACCACCCCTAAAAAATTTTCACTGTCCCAACACTTTACCACTAATTCATTTTATTTTTCTTATTAATATAAGAAGACAGGAATGTCAGGCCTCTGAGCCCAAGCTAAGGCATCATATCCCCTGTGACCTGCACGTACACATCCAGATGGCCGGTTCCTGACTTAACTGATGACATTCCACCATAAAAGAAGTGAAAATGCCCTGTTCGTACCTTAACTGATGACATTATCTTGTGAAATTCCTTTTCCTCGCTCATCCTGGCTCAAAAGCTCCCCTACTGAGCACCTTGTGACCCCCACTCCTGCCCGCCAGAGAACAACCCCCCTTTTGCCTTTACCTACCCAAATCCTATAAAATGGCCCCACCCCATCTCCCTTCACTGACTCTTTTCGGACTCAGCCCACCTGCACCCAGGTGAAATAAACAGCTTTATTGCTCACACAAAGCCTGTTTAGTTTAGTGGTCTCTTCACACAGATGCAAGTGAAAAAACCCACAGTGAGATATCATCTCACCCTGCTTAGAATGCCTTTTATGAAAAAGCCAAAAAATAACAAATGCTGGCAAGGATGTGAAGAAAGGGGAATGTTCATACACTGTTGGTGGAAATGTAAATTAGAGCAATTGTTATGGAAAACAATATAACTTCCAAAAACATTAAAAATAGACTTACCACATAATCCAGCAATCCCCCTACTGGGTGTATATTCAAAGAAAATTAAATCAGTATGTCAAAGAGATTTCTGCACTCTCATGTTTATTACAGCACTATTCACAATAGCCTAGAATCAACCTAAGTGTCCATCAATGAATGAATGGATAAAGAAAATGTGGCATATATGCTGTATTTGGCCATTCTTGCATTGCTATAAAGAAATAACTGAGATTGGATAATTTATAAGAAAAGAGACTTAATTGGCTCCTGGTTCTGTGGGCTCTACAGGAAGCATAGTGCCAACATCTGCTTCTGGGGCCTCAGGAAGCTTGAGAACTTGTTCACTATCATGAGGATAGCACCAAGCCATGAGGGATCCACCTCCATGACCCAAACACCTCCTACCAGGCCCCATTTCTAACAGTGGGGATTACAATATAACATGAGATATGGGTCAGGACAAATATCCAAACTATATCATATGCACACTTGGCCATAAAAAAAGGATAAAATCGTGTCATTTGTGACAACATGAATGAGTAGAGAGGACATTGTGGTAAGTGAAATAAGCTAACCACAGAAAGACAAATATCACATGATCTCATTCATATGTGAAATCTAAAAACACTGATCTAATAGAGAGTAGAAGAGTGGTTACCAGACTGGGAAAGTTAGGGAGAAGAGGTTTTAACAATGTATCATGTATCAAAATACCACATTGTACCCCATCAACATGTGAAATTATCATGTGTCCACTTAATAAAAAAAAAGAAAATGGAAGAGTCAAGATACTGGGGCACTTGAAGAGATAGAAGGTGAATTGGCAGTAAGGAAGAGAGAGTCTGAAAGAGCAGGTCACAGAGTGGAACATTAAAGTTTATAACATTAGAAATCAATTTTTAAGTTATTGAAAAGTTTATAGCCATGAAAGTGAGTAGCTCAATTGAAGTGAAAGTAAAAGTCAATGAAAGATTAAATTAGAAAATATATTGCTTGGCATTTAGTAGTTACTTCAGAAATATTAATAAATCTTAAGAAAATTAAGAACGCCAAAGCATTCATAGTGGGCCATTATCATAATACAAATGTATGTGGTAATATTTTATTCTTTCTAGTGAAGGGAGTAATTCAACAGTCTTGATTATAGGTTAGAAAATGATTCTCCAGGTGTGACCCACTGACCACATTCATTGTATTTGAATTGCTTGAGCAACTTGTTTCAGAAGAAAATGGAAAGATTTTAAGATGGACCAATGAAATTACCACTGAGTGTCTTCAAGAAATCTCAGCCTTGCCTAGAATAACCTGGGTTATCTGTTTCTATGGGGTCTTTTTGCCTTTTGTTTTCTTTGTTATTTGCAATCCTGTTAGTCATAGATTACTGATAGTAATGCAAATATTCTTGTCCATAGACATGCAAATGACTGATTTGGGTGGAAGTATAATTAATTTTCCTTTTTTCACCTTCCATCAAGAAGTCAGTTTTGAACCTATCAAGAAAATTTATTTCAGTGTTCCTTAGTGCATAGAGATGTGTGGCTCTTTTAATTTTCCATAAAACTCATTATAACATCTTACTGACTCCCTCATTAAATAAATGAGTTAAACAAAAATCTTAGACAAATGTTCATTTTATATTTGTAAGTCATAATTTATCCTACTTGAAGCAATTTTCCTTTAACATTCCTAAAAATACAGATTCCTATGCCCCATGCTAGACCTACTGAATCAAAATCTCAGGCCTAAGGCACAAGAATTTGCATTGTTAGTAAGCTTTTCAAGTGATTTTTAGGCATACTATATTATATTAACCATTACCATTCTAATTCTTTAAACTTGAATTATTGTGTTTATAATTCCAACTTCATCAAAGTAAACTTTTTGTTAGCAAAAACGGTAGAAACCCCCTTATTCAATAAGATTGGGACCAGTAATAAATAGATTAATAACAAATTTAAGTTAGATGGAGGAATCATAAGAAGTATTAGATGTAAGTCCTTAAAACAACTTTAATTTAAAAGACATGTGTAAATAAATTTGCCACTATTTTGATGACAAGGTCAAAGCCTTGCACGGATTCAATGAGTGGAGTTTCTTGTGGAAACTATGCCAATGATATGTTGTCATTCATTTCTCGTTCACTTTCTGTGAAGACAACTGGGGTAAAGCAATCTGAAATCCTAGAGTATACAATTTTTCCCATTTGTTTCTAGTTGTCTTGCCCACTGTTAAGTTGGCAGCAACTGTTTGAGTGTCTCATTTTCCCAACACATTTGGTTTATTTCTCAAAGAAACAACAATACTACTCTTGTTGTACTCATTTTCTCAGTTTACATAATATTTATTTTTTATTTTATTTATTTTTTTTTTGAGATGGAGTCTCGCTCTGTTGCCCAGGCTGGAGTGCAGTGGTGCCATCTCTACTCACTGCAAGCTCCGCCTCTCAGGTTCACCTCATTCTCCTGCCTCAGCCTCCCAAGTAGCTGGGAGTACAGGCGCCCGCCACCACGCCCTGCTAATTTTTTTGTATTTTCAGTAGAGACCGGGTTTCACCATGTTAGCCAGGATGGTCTCGATCTCTTGACCTAGTTATCCGCCCTCCTTAGCCTCCCAATATAATATTTAATTAAATTGCATAACTACAAGAGCAAGAACAAATGGTGTAAACATATTTAGGAATGAACACAGCTTCCTCTTAGAAACTATATAATTTCTGTGATGGAAGGAGAAATGTACAGGCATTAAAAGTAGCTCAAAGGCTTTCAGTTTGCAATGGACATCAGTCAATAAGTTGTACAGGGGTACCAGAAAGTGCTAATTGTAAATCAGTTAAGTGGAGGTCAGTTAAGGCAGCATCCACTGTATCTTAATTTGTGAAGTGAATGTTCTAAAACTGGGTTCACTTTTGCTATAAAGGACCAGATGATAAATATTTTAAGCTTTGCAAACCATACGGTCTCTATAGCAACCATTCAACTCTACCATTGTAGCAGGAAAGCACCATAGATCCATGGATGTGCTCCAATAAAACTTTATTAAAACAGGCAGCTGGTCTGAGGTCCATGTATATATCTTGCTGTTTTCATACAATTTTCTAAGTTAGTAGTTTCCTGCCTTTTTAACAATCACGGATTACTTTTAATCCTCTCCTCTGATTTTATGTTTCAAAAGCCTTAAGAAAAACCCACAAAATATATTTATTTTGTAATTTTGGGGGTGGTTCTTATTTTATTAATAAGTAATCAATGATATATAAAGGCTACCCATTAGGTCAGTATGAAATAATCAACATTACTAACTCTAATGACTTAGTTCTGGATAGAAATAAAATATATTCAACTATATATACATAACTTAAAACCTGTATAGCTGTTTCTGGTGTAAATATATAACTTTTCGAGATTTTTTCAAGTATTAAATACAACTTTTGGGAATCCCCACACCTGGCTCCCTATGATGACGTTCAAGAATTCCTTAGGATTCTGGGAATCTTAGAATGAAAGTCACTGCTCTGTAGGAATGAATGAATGAATGAAAAAGAAAACGAAGGAAGAAGACAGAGCATGTCTACTAATTATAAATTAATCATCAATGAATGTTTATTTTATAAATAAATTTGTCAACTTTAGGTTGCCAAATCTAACAAGATACCAACATGGCATTCATGGTGATCACACCTCTAGTCAAATTTTATTTTAGTTCATTGACTATACTATTAATATCCTGAAATACTCAAAACTTCTGTCTCAATTCGGTGAATAATTCACTTATTAATCACCGTATACACTACTTAATGAATGGAATGGTGCTTGGAATAAAGATAATTACAGGGCTAAAAGGTTTTTCTCTGGAGGCAGGGCATAGAATTTTGTTGTCTGACTGGAATAAAACAAAATTAATCAATATTTTCTGCAACCAGTGGCTTTTGACTTAGTCGTCTATTAATATCTATCAATCACTATAATCTCAGTCCTATTTCCTCCATTTTTCTTTTTGCTATCATAAAAACTTGTCCATTTTTTTCCTGTTAGATCTATATGTTTCTCCTCTTTTCTTTTCATCCAAACAACTGGACATCAACTTAGTACACATAGTCCAATTTATCCGAACCTTACAGAACTCACTGTTTCCATTTACATAACTTACATAACTGTCAAGCTGAAATCACTCTCAAATTTTTTTAATTCAAAATTTTAATTTAATTTAATAATATTTATTTATTCATTAATTAATTTATTTTGAAAATAATTTTAACTTGTATTTTACATTCAGGGGTACATGTGCCAGTTTGTTACATGGGTATATCTCATAATGCTGAGTTTTGGGGTATGAATGATCCCATCATCCAGATGCTGATTTGGTATGATTTGACTCTGTGTCCCCACCCAAATCTCATGTTGAATTGTAATTCCCAATGTAGGGGGAATGACATGGTGGGAGGTGATTAGCTCATGAGGGCAGATTTCCCCCTTGTTGTTCTTAGATGGTAAGTGAGTTCTCATGACATCTGATGGTTTAAACATATGGCAAATCCCCCCTGGCTCACTTGCTCTCCTTCCGCCATGGTAGAACGTGCCTTGCTTCCCCCTTCACCATCTGCCATGATTATAAGTTTCCTGAAGCCTCCCAGCCATGCTTCCTGTACAGCCTGTGGAATTGTGAGTCAGTTAAACCTCTTTTCTTTATAAATTACCCAGTCTCAGGTAGTTCTCTACAGCAGTGTGAGAACAGATTAATACATGAGCATAATACCCAATAGGTAGTTTTTCAAACCTTGCCTTCCTCCTTCTCCCCTCTAGTAGTCCCGGTGTTTATTCTTTCCATCTTTATGTCCATGAGTACCCAGTGTTTAGCTCCCACTTATAAGTGGGATCATGTGGTATTTTGTTTTATGTTCCTGCATTAATTCACTTAGGATAATGGCCTCCGGCTGCATCCATGTTGTTTCAAAGGACATGATTTTGTTATTTTTATGGCTGCATAGTATTCCGTGGTGTATGAAATGGTTTGGAAGGTGGCCCCTATAAATCTCATGATGAAATGTAATCCTCAGTGTTGGAGGTGGGGCCTGGTAGGGTCATGGGGATGGATCTCTCATGGCCTGATGCCGTCCTTGTGATAGTGAATTCTTTCAAGATCTGGTTGTGTAAGGGTGTGTGGTACTTACCCCCACTCCCATTTTCTCTTGCTCCTCCTCGGACCATGTGATGTGCCTACTCCCTCTGTGCCTTCCATCATGAGTAAAAGCTCCCTGGGGCCTCCACAGGCGCCATGCAGATGCCATCACCATGCTTCCTGTACAGCCTGCAGAGATGTGAGCCAATTAAATCTCTTTTCCTTATAAATTACCCAGCCTCAGGTATTTCTTCATAGCAATGCAAGAATGGCCTAATCATACTGTGTAGATGTACCACATTTTATTGATCCAATCCACTGTCGATGGGCACCTAGGCTGACTCCATGTCTTTGCTATTGTGAATAGTGCTGCGATGAACATGCAAGTGCATATGTCTTTTTGGTAGAATAACTGATTCTCTTTGGGTTATATACCAGTAATGGAATTGTTGGCTTGAATGGTAATTCTATTTTAAATGCTTTGAGAAATTTCCAAACCGCTTTGAACAGTGGCTGAACTAATTTACATTTGCACCAATTATGTGTAAATGTTCCCCTTTCTCCACAGCCTCCCAAGATCTGTTGTTTTTCAATTTTTGAATAGTAGCTATTCTGACTGGTGTAGGATGGTATCTCGTTTTGGTTTTGATTTGCATTTCTCTGATGATTAGTGATGTTAAGACTAATCTTTGCCACCAAAAAACTAGGAAAATACAGTGTCACTTGTCAAAATAAATTGTTTTACTTTGCTTTAAAAATAATCAATTGAGTAGTATATTTCTTCCAGCAAAATTAAGAAGTAAACATTTAGAATTGTACAGTACCTTGCTGTTAAGTCTTCGCACAAGTATACCAATCGAACATAAAGGCCACCTTAAACTTTCATTTGAAATGAAAGACAATTTTTAAGAGGTTAAGGGCTAGTAATTTCTTAAAGTCCTGAAGTTAAATTAGCTCAAGTAAATGCAAAGACTTTCCTTTAATTAAAGACTTTTAAATGAACACTTTAAAGCATAGTTGGTTTCTCCCTCAAATCTTGTCCAAAGCCACTGTTTACAACTCAGCATATCAAAGAAGGCTTCAGACATGATTGTGAAGCTCCCTCAACTTACAGTGTGCTATTTGCAACCTTAGATGCTATCATTCTGGCTTTTCTAACTTTTAGCAACAATAAGCACACCCTTCTCATTTCTCCCCCACCCTGACTTACCCCTCTTTTCATTTAATATACAATTTTTCTCAGAGTGTTCTTACACATCTTTAACTGTAAATATGACAAAAGCACACAGTATAGTACATTTATCACATGTATAAATGCTGTATCTAGTCATACAATTTTCCTTTTAAAAAAGAAATATTTTATTTTCAAAAAGCAAAGACTCTAGGAATCTTTTCTAGCTGCCAGTCATAAAAACATAAATTCCTGGTTAGTTTCCCAAATTTGCCTGACCATAAGAACCACTTGTGATACTTGTCAAACACATGTATGCTGAGTCCCATCCATGATCTCCTGAATCAGAATCACCAGGTGAGAGGCCTGGGAATACACATTTTAAACAAATGTCCACAGTGATTATGATTAGTAAAGCTTGAAAAACATTTCACTAGGATCTTTATGACTGAATAACCTCACAAACATAGGAAAGTTACTGGAAAAAAATATGAGCAGAATTTCAGAATTCTGCCTTTGCTGAAAGTGTTTGTTCCCTCCTCCTCTACTCATCAAGACCTGACTGCTTATGCAACTCCCCCAAACCATCAATGGGAAGAGCTGAAAATGATTTTAATGAAGAAGAAAAGCTGATGTTTAATTTCAAAACTGACGGTTTGAATAGAAGGGAGAGGCATGAATTTATCTTGATTCTAACAGAAAGCATTGTATTTGGGTCTACAAACGAAATTGGTTTCATTTTTATTTTTTGTAAGTTTTCGCCAAACTCTGTGCATATATAGAGGCTGGGCAAGAAAGAAAGAAATCCAGAAATACGGCATATGCCATCCCTTATTTATTTCCCCATGCGACCAGCCAACAGCTTCTTCACCTAGTCCCTGCTTCAAGCTGACTTTCAGTCTACTTCTCTATCGGAAATGGAGCTTCCCCAAAGACTGCCTCAATGTCAGTTACCCAGAGGCCTTTTTTCCATCTTGGGCTCCTAAACTTCTATGATATTAAATGATACTACCCTTTCTGGAAATTCTCCTTAGCTTTGATTTCTATAATTTAACTCTGTTTCATTCCTTCTTTTATAGCCTTTCTTTTCTCTATCCCTTTACTGTAGACATATTGTACGACTTTGTTCTTGACCTTCTGATCTCTCCACATTCATTCCTTCAGAGCATGTATCCATTTTCTTGGTGTCAGGCTTCCTGACTATCTGATTATTACCATCATATAACGATGTTGGTGATGAGCATAGCTAACATATCCTAGGCATTTTCCATGTAGGTTATAATAAGCACCCTATATAACTCGTACCATTTAATTCTTCAACCCTAAATGATACTATTACTAACCACATTGTATGAGACGAGGAAACAGATTTTCATCAAAACCCTGGAAAGCCAACGTGAGGAGCCCCTGTGTGTCTCCTTTGTTAATGACTCCGGGCATCATGGCATGTGGATTGCCATGGAATGGGGATTAGGAAGCGCAGCACTGTGAAAACACCAGAAAATACGTTGATAGCGGTAAGGACGCTCATCTCTGCACATTGTGACGGTTTTGTTTCTGAGTCAGGTTTGAGATGAGCCAATCCTGACTCCATGGTGCCACCAGGGATCACGAATTTAATAAGATCTTCGTGGATGCTTGGAACCCAACTGGTCTCGGTTTTCTACTTTAGGGAAAGAGCCACAGCTTGAGTGGGGTGGTTTTGGTGTCACATACGCGATTAATAACACCCACCGCTGCAGAGGAATCACCGTGGACTACTCCTCCTTTCATCCCATGCTCTTGCGATGGATCCCTCTCACCTGTTTACTGATTTCATTCAAATTCTTCAGCGACCACAGGACCCCGACTTGCCTTCTCTATCCTGGTTCCCTCACTCTGCTTTACAGGCCTGGCCTGCTCGCTGCTCCTCACACCAGCGCTGCACGGCTCCCTCCACGCCTCCGCCCTGTTTCCTCCATCAGACAGGACTAGCTTCCTCCATCTCTGTCGGGCAAATGCCTGCCCAGCCTTCAAGACCCTCCTCAGATGCCGCCTCCACGATTAGGCTTCTTTCAGACCCCTGAGCCTGTAACACGGGCTACCATAACTCTCCACCTCAGCCCACATTCCCACAGCACTCGCGACGTCCGCGACCCTCAACATGGCGCTTCATTCTCTTTTAGGGTATTTCCTGCTTGTTTCCTGCACACACAGTCGCGCGAGGCGCAGTCCTGAGTGACCCACGCACGAGTGGCCCGCGCTTCCAGCCGCGCCGCCGCAGGCCAGCGAGGGCAGCCTGAGCCGCTTCCCGCCCCGGCGAGGACCGTCGCCAGCCCGCTGCTCTAGCAGGAGGCGGTTCCACAGCGCACCCGGCAGCCCAGCCACCGTCAGCACCGCGCCTCGGGCGGGCTTTTCTCCCTTCCGGGAGGCGCGAATCCTCAGGGGCTCCTTGAGAGGGCGCCAGGGAGCAGCTGCGCGCGGATGCCTTTTGGCCCTCTGCGGCCGCCGTAGCTCCCCGGCAGAAACCCGGAAGTGGAACTCTGAGCCATTCAGCGTTTGGGTGAAGACGGAGGCGGGTTCTACAGAGACGTAGGCTGTCAGGGAGTGTTTATTTCGCGTCCGCTTCTGTTTCTCCGCGCCCCTGTGCTGCCCCGACTCACATACTCGTCCAGAACCGGCCTCAGCCTCTCCGCGCAGAAGTTTCCCGGAGCCATGGCCGAGTACTCCTACGTGAAGTCTACCAAGCTCGTGCTCAAGGGAACCAAGACGAAGAGGTGGGTCCTGCAGCTTGGGCGGGAGCCTCCTCCGTTCTTTTCGGACGCACTCCACCCCCGCAACTCCGGTGGAAGCCGTGGCGCGGAGAGCCGGCTTTGTGGCCTCCCAGGCTTCGCCCTGGCCCCTGTCCGGGCTGGACGGAGGCCGGGCCGCGGTTCCCGGCGTCTGTGCAGAGAGGGGCAGCCTCCCGCGCGGACGACCCTGGAAACAGGATAGACGGGCAGGTGACCCGTGACCCCGTACCCACGAGTTTGGGTCCCCTGAGGCATCTCTCCAGGCCTCTGCCTGGGGGGTCTGCATTAGTCTGATCTCGTAGTTCATGATAATTTCCTTTATTAGGGATTATTATTTTCTCCATTGTCTCTTTTCTTTCTAGAAAACTTATTAATTTTTTCTAATCTAATATGTACAGTGAAACCAGGATGAATCACACAGTGGTTGAGGTGTATATGGGCTTTAGGGATATGGGCTCGAACCTGCACTCTTGTCATTTACTAGTTTTGTAATTTGTGGCAAATTGGTTAATATGTCTGAACTTCCATTTACTCATTAAGAGATCAAATATCTGAACCTCCGTTTACACATTTATACTTTCAGACGTTTTTTATACTTTTAGAAGACTGTGAGGATTAAATGAGAGAACATATATGCAGAAAATAAATTGAGCCAAATGTGAGGAGGAGGTCGTAATGGTAATTTATTAGCTTTTTAGGAAAAAATACCTGTGCACTCATATCCCCGCTTCTTTTTTAACTGGCAGATTTGCCCGAGGTACATACAAATGTCGAGTATTTCCTCCTGGTCTCCGTGATAAACAGAGGTTTTGATATTTTTAGGCGAGATAGAAAGTATCAAGGAGTGAGTTGAAGCCACTGGCCTTGAGAACCCTCTCGAGGAGTCTGGCCTCATGAAGATGCCAGAATAAATGGCAGGTTTATCCTGAATGAATGTGAGATTTTTACTCTGTGAATTTCCTGGGAGGAGAGGAGAGTTATCTTCTGAAAACTTTATAATGAAAATGCAGACACGGGTGTCTTAAGATCATCGTAATAATCATAATTAATGCTCATATAGCACTGTCAATGTGCCAAGAAATTGTTGTAGGCACTTTGCACATTAACTTTTTTTCAAATCACTCTTGGTTTTTTATTTTTTTATTGAGATATAATTCATAATTATAAAATTCACCCTTTTGTACAGTCAGGGGTTTTTAGTATATATTCAAGAGGTTCACCACTGTCTAGTTGCTCAGCATTTTCATCATCTCAGAAGGAAATCTCCCCCTACCCATTAAAGCAGTCACATCCCATCCTCCCCCTCTCCTAGTCCTTGGCAACCACTAATCCGCTCTCTATGTGAAATCGCCTATTCTGAATATTTCCTAAGAAATCATGCAACATGTGGCCTTTTGTATCTGGCTCCTTTCACTTATAACATTATTGAGGTTCATCATTGTTGTAGCGCCTGTTCCTTTTTATGGCTGCATAGTATTCCATTGTATGGATGTATCATTTTGTTCATCCATTCATCAACTGATGAACATTTGGGTTGTTTCCCCTTTTTGGCTATTGTGACTAATGCTAGTGTGAATATTCTTATGTAAGTATTTTTGTGGGTGTATGTTTTCATTTCCCTTGGGTATACATACTTAGGAGTAAAATTGCTGGGTCATGTGGTAACTTTAACTTTTTGAGGAACCCCAAACTGTTTCCTGTAGATGCTGCACCATTTTACATTTCCACCAGGAATGTGTGAAGGTACATATTACCTCTTAATCCTCACAATAGCCTTAAGAGTTAGGTTAAGTTACTATCCTAATTTTTTAAGTGGGGAAACTGACTCAGAGAGATTCAGTACCTTTTCCAAAAATCACGGAGCTAAGAAGTGAAAGAATCAGGATTTAAAATCTGGCAGTGTGGCTCTACAATCTGCTTTGAACTCTAACGTAATATGTGCAAAGCCTGAAGCAACTTCTCAGTACTGTATTTAAGAGGGCATATCAATGTAAGTCTTCCTAAATCAATAATTTATAAATGAAACAGCTTAAAAGACTTTCAAGTTTCAATCTTACAATATTTATCGTACAAATCAATATACCTAAACTCGTCTATATAAATTATGTCCTGTAGTAAGAAGAAAAAGAGCAAAGATAAGAAAAGAAAAAGAGAAGAAGATGAAGAAACCCAGCTTGATATTGTTGGTGAGTCAGTTTTCAGTGCTCTATTCTGAAAAAAGTTAATGTTTCTTGAGATCTCCTTGAAAGTGTTTTCCTAGTTAGAAATTTATGATGTATTCATATTTGTCTTAAAGTGCTTAAATATTACCTACAGTTATAAATTCCATTTATTCTTTAACACAGTAGATGCTACTGATGCCTTTACTTCATTATCAGGAGAGAAAAATTATAACTCTCTGACTTAGTAGGCACCATTAGACTGCTTAATAGCCAGAGATTCTAATACATAATTTTAAAGGCCTAATGTAAATGTTATTCAACCAAATATCTTTTACAAGTTATTTTCTTTGCACATGTATGCATTTTAATTGTAGAAGTCGGTTGTCTCTTAAAGGAAGTATCTTCACAGGAAAAATCATTATTTTGTGAACTCTGAAATGAATGAAAATTTTAAATACAACATCAGGGTAGCCTGTAAATGATACTAGAAATAAACTGACCTAAACACACTTAACCAGCCTGTTTTCCGTTTAGTTCTTTTCCATACATATTTTTTTCTCTTTTAAAACTTGGCAAGTTGCATTTTGAATCTTCATAAATTATGGTAACTTAATATATAAAATATGGAATGGTATAAAGCTAATGTTCTGGAAGAATCATTGCTTTCAAAATGGCAAATCAACAATTCTAAAATTAGGGTAAATATCTAGGGTAGATATGTAGATGTGGAATTGCTGTGTCAAAGGATAGGTGAATGTTTAACTATATAAGAAAATGCCAAAAGTTTTCTAAAGTGGTTGTGCCATTTTACCCTCCTACCAAGAATGAATTAGTGCTCCAGTTACATCCTTGCCAAGAGTTGATGGTGTTATCAGTCTTTTCTCCCAGTCTGAGTTTTACCTTTTCAGTTTCTTAATGGTGGTTTTTGGATGAGCAGCTTTTTTTTGAGACAAATTCTCACTCTGTCTCCCAAGCTGGAATGCAGTGATGCGATCTCGGTTCACTGCAAGCTCCACCTCCCGGGTTCATGCCATTCTGCTGCCTCAGCCTCCCGAGTAGCTGGGAGTGCAGGTGCCTGCCACCACACCCGGCTAATTTTTTGTGTTTTTAGTAGCAACAGGGTTTCACCATGTTAGCCAGGATGGTCAGAAGCTTTTAATTTTTATAAAGCTCAGTTTATTTTTTTTTTCTTTTATGGTTACTGTCTTATGTCTTTGATCTAAGAGATCTTTGCTTACCCCAAAGTCAGGAAAATATTCTACATTGTCTTTTAGAGGCATCATAGTTTTAGTTTTTACATTAAATCTGTCATTCATCTCAAATTAAATTTTGGCATGATGTTGTGAGTTCGGTTTCAAGATTTACTTTTTTTTTTTAAACATCTTGATAGCCAGTTGTGCCAGCACCACTGGTGTTTCCTTTTTCCATTAATCCACTTTGGTATCTTCATAAAAAATCAATTAACTTTCTATGTATTGGTCTGTTTCTGGACTCTGTTCTATCGATACGTTTGTCTGTTTTTCTGTTGGTATATTTCTCTTGATTGCTATAATTTCATGAAGTCTTGAGATCAGGTAGTGTGAGTCCTCCGACTTTGTACTTATTAACTGTTAATTTATTAATTTCTGCAGTGAAGTTTGTTGGATTTTCTCGAGAACTGTATTGAGTCCAGATCATTTGGGGGAGATCAACATCTTAATATTGGGCCTCAATATTTCATAATTTTCAATGTAGCCATCTTGCATGCCTGTTTAAACATTTATTCTTAAGTATTTTATAATTTTACATTACTGTCAATAGAACCTTTGAATTTGATTTTCCAGTTGTTTGCTGTCAGTATGTAGATATACAATTGATTTTTGTATAGTGACTTTGTAGTCTAAGTCTGTTTCACTTATTACTTCTAGTGGTTTGCTTATATAGAAAACTAAGAAATTTGCAATTATGTTTCCTGTGACTATCGTTTTACTTCTTTCTTTCTAATCCTTTTGTCTTGTCTTTCTTTTTATTGGTTTATTATACTGTCCAGGACTTCTATAGCATTGAACAGAAGTCATGAGAATGGGCATAATTGCATTGCTCTCAAGCTTAGGCAGAAAGCTTTCAGTAGTCCACCATATGGTATGACGTCTGTAGGATCTGCAGAGAAAACTTTTATCAAAATGAGGACATTCCTTTTAAAACTTTGTTTCTTGGGAGTTTTTATCATAACGATGTTTAATGCTGTCAGATGCCTCTTTCTGTATCTGTTGAGATGATTATACAGCTTTCTTCATTCTGCCAGTGGATTATATTGGTTTCATTTTCAACTTTTAAACTAACTTTACATCCCTGAGATAAACCCCACTTGGTTGTGGTGCGTTGTCCTTTGGGATATTGCTAGATTTGATTTCTAGGTGTTTGTGTTTTTTGTTTTTTTTTAAGATTTCTATATTGGTGTTGATGGGAGATATTGGACTTTTGTATCCTTTTCTTGTAATGTCTTTTTTTGATTTTGGTGTCAAGGTGATACTGGGTGTCACAAAATTAGATGGAAAGTGCTGTCTCCTTTCCTATTTTTGGAAATAGCTGTGTAGAGATGGGTATGAGTTGTTCTTTACATGTTTGATAGAATTCAC
This sequence comes from Homo sapiens, assembly GCF_000001405.40. Taxonomy (NCBI): domain Eukaryota; kingdom Metazoa; phylum Chordata; class Mammalia; order Primates; family Hominidae; genus Homo; species Homo sapiens. Next base: position 38,797 of record NW_015495301.1, read on the forward strand.
CAGTGAAGTCAGCTGAACCCGGAGGGTTTTGTTTGGTTTGGTTTTAGTTTTTTGTGGGAAAATTAAAATTTTTTAAGAGATATTTTCAGATTTTTCTGTTGTGTCAGTTTTGGCAATTTGTGTCTTTTAAGAAAATTTCATCTAAGTTGTTGGATTTATTGGCATAGAATTGTTCAGAATATTCCTTTAATATGCTTTTAATGTCCGTAGAATCTCATCTGTATTGCAGTCTCTTCATATTGGTAATTTGTGTTTTTGCTATGTTTTCCTGGATCAGTCAGTCTAGCTGGAGGTTTCTCAATTCTTTACAAGATCATTTATTTTAGATCGTTAATGATCGTTTAGTACAGGTGTATTCAATCTTTTAGCTTCCCTGGGCCACAATGAAAGGAGAGGAATTGTCTTGGGCCACACATAAAATACACTAACGATAAGCTGATAAGCCAAAAAAAAAAAAAAAGCAAAAAAATCTCATAATATTTCAAGAAAGTTTATGAATTTGTGTTGGGCTGCATTCACAGCTGGCCTGGGCCACATGTGGCCCTCAGGTTGGACAAGCCTGTTTCAATATTACTTATTTTCTCTTTTTTTCATTTTCTATTTCATTTATTTTCAGTCTTTTATTTTTTTCCTCCCTTTAACTTATTTTCAGTTTACTTTGCTCTTGTTTTATTGCTTCTTAGGAAGGGAGTTAGATCTCTTCATTCCACTTTAGTTTCAGTTATAGTCAACACATTTTGTTTTCATTTTCATTCCATTCAAAATATCATCTAGTTTTCCTTGTGATTTTTCTTTTCATGGACACGTGAGTTATTTAAAAGTATATTGTTTTTAATTTCTACTACATAGAGATATTATAGGTATGTTATTGTTGCTGATTTCTAATTCATTTATAGTATAGTTGGAGAACATACTTTCTTAGTGAATTTCCATGTAGACTTGAATGTGTATTCTGCAGATGTTGGTTCAGGGTTTTTTGTTTGTTTGTTTGTTTGTTTTTTTGGAGATGGAGTCTCGCTGTTGCCCAACAGGCTGGAGTGCAGTGGTGCAATCTCGGCTCACTGCAACCTCCGCCTCCCAGGTTCAAGTGAATCTCCTGCCTCAGCCTCCGGAGTAACTGGAATTACAGGCACCTGCCACCACACCCGGCTAATTTTTTAAATATTTTTAGTAGAGACAGGGTTTCACCACGTTGACCAAGCTGGTCTCAAACTCCTGACCTCAGGTGATCCTCCCGCCTCGGCGGGATCCAGGCGTGAGCCGCGGTGCCCGGCCAGTTCAGTGTTCTTTAGATGTCTGTTAGATCAACTGGTAGAGCTTGTGACTATGCATATCTTCTGTGTCCTTACTGATTTTTTACTAATGCTACAGTGTATTGATAGTTATGTTAAAATCTCCAGCGGTAATTCTAGATCTGTCTACTTGAGCAGTTTTTGCTTAAAGTATTTTGAAGCCGTCATGTGTACACATTTAGGATTGTTAAGTCTTCCTTATAAATTCAGTCTTTCATTTTCATAACATTTTAACCTTATTTCTGTTAAATGTCTTGATGCCTAGTCAAATTATTTGACCACCCTTTTGCTCCTGTCAAGCCTGGGCCTTTGTTAGTTTGTGCTTATTTATTAGGGTTTTGCTCGTAGACTTAGACAGTGACTCTTAGTCTAGGAAAGGTTCATCCTCATGGGCCTCAGCCACATGTTCTAGGTATACTTAGTGAGTTCTCTCCACTCTGCTGTGTCCCAAATTTGTGTGATCTCTGGCATCTCCAGTCAGCCCTCAGAAGTGCCAGCCACTCTGCAGAGGCCTTGTGGAGCCTGCCTGCTGCATGCACTCCCCCCAGCCCTTGGCCACAGACCTGCAGAGAACTTTTGCGTACTCTTTTGAGGCCTCACCTGTATGTAGTTCCCTCTTCTCCAGTACCTTATTCTATAAACTCCCAACATGTTAGCACTGTAAGACTCTCAGCTTAGTGACAGTGACATTGCCTCATTTCTGGAGGTCTCTACCTCTCTCCGTGTGGTCAAGAAACTGCCATTGGGCAGAAAACACAAGTGTGTATGAGATTTGCCTCCAGTGTTTTCCTGTTCTCAAATATCACAGTCCTGTTCTGCCTGTGTTCCAATCTCTGAAAACAGTTTTCTCAAATATTCTATCCAGTTTCAGTTTTCTCGTTGGTCATGGTGGGAGGGCAAGTCCATCTTGGCTGGAAGAGGAAGTCCTTCTGCGTCTTTTTCTCTTTGTCCTTCCACATGGTTTTGCATTGTGGATTTTCTAAACTTGCCGTATAAGTAAGCATGTGCCTATTTGTGAAGGGAAAGAAAAAAAACCTTTTAATTTTTTAAAGCTGTTCTGTTGGTTCCTCACAAGGATCTGAAGGGATTGGTAAATAGGATGAAAGAAATTCTGTCTTTCACATGGAGAAAACCAAGTGTGACATTAATAAAAACGAGCATGTCTGTAGGCAAAGAGTTTCACTGAGCTCTGCTAGATTCAGAAGCAGTTGGACTTACAACATCGTACTTTGCAAAACACATATATTTTATTTACCCAGGAACTAAAGCTAAGTCAGCTGTGGATTAATAGAAGGTCTGTGAAGGGTACTTAGACTACAGTAAGATTGGGGAAGAAAATTCCATTTCCAAATCTAAGATATATCATTCCTTTGTGCCAAGCACATAATGATAGTAGAGATTTAAGGGGGCCCTTAGCACGGAAGCACTGGGTTAGTCAGAAGGTGAGGTGAGCTGTCACACAGCCTTGATGCTAGAATGAGGGTGCCCTGGTACTATCTTATCAGCCATGACACTGGTGCATTGGGCCATTTTTTTGTTTTGTTTTTTTTGAGACAGGCTCTTGCTTTGTTGCTCAGGCTGGAGTGCAGTGACATGATCGTGGCTCAGTGCACCCTCGACCTCGTAGGCTCAAGCAATCCTCTCACCTCCGACTCCCGAGTAGCTGGGACCACAGGCTCGTACCACCACACCCAGCTAATTTCTTAATTTTTTTGTAGAGATGGGGGTCTCCTTTTGTTGCCTAGGCTGATTTTGAACTCCTGGGCTAAAGTGATTCTCCTGCTTCCACCTCTCAAAGTGCTGGATTACAGGCATGCCAGACATATGTAAACATTCTAAACTATGTGACAATATGTGTAAAGCTTTCTCATGCATTGTGAGACAACACAGCAGGAATATTTCACCATCTGCCTAAGGTTTAAAAGGAAATAACTTTAAGCATGTGTCTAAATAGCAAGTAATGTTTTAGAGCGGATTCTCTTAAATTCAGCTTGGGCATCTGCACCATATACACAGCTTGAGCTGTCACCTGACGTAGAGACAGGCAACTTCAGTGCCCGTGTTCATAGGATCCACTGCTTTCTCACAGCTAAAACCCCAGAGTGGCACCATTAAGTATTATGTTATGTTACTTTAGTCGATAAACATATAAGCATACCTCCAAAGGTTGAATGTAGGCCACTTGCAGAAAGTAGGCAGAATGCTCACATTTAATTCTTGATGATACTGTGTTTATATTTCTTATTCTTTGAAATTGCATTGAGAAAAAATACTGGCATCTGCTCAAAGTAATTTCTTTTTCAGTTGACAATATTAAAGTAACGTTATTGTATCATTTCCCTACTTGGACAGAGTGTGAAAATTTTAAGGAGCTTGTCTGCCAGAAATTTCTTCTTCATTTGCAAAACATTAATGAGTTATTATATTTAAATGATTTTATTTAATATTAAGTGTACTTGGTCAATGTGGCATAGAACATACAAAATAAATCTAATTTAAAATCATTAACTATTATATTTATAAGAAAGACTTGCTAATCATAACACTGTTGATAATGATTCTGAATAAAGCATTATTTCTTTTCCTGAAAACAATTGTAGCTATAATTCAATCATCTAAATTGCTTATTAGTTTTATTTCTTTTTAATTGTCTTTAGCTGAAATTTTAATTTTGATTAATTTTCTTTTTCTCCATTGGTTTTGTGTGTGTGTGGAGGTAAAATATACAGAATATAGAATTTGCCAGTTTTTCTATTTTTACGTGTATGCTTCAGTGGCATTTAAATACATGCACCATTTTACCTTCCCACCAGCATTGCACAGGGTTTCCGTTTCTCCACATCCTGCCCAACATTTGTTTTTCTGGCTTTCTTGGTTTCTGTTTTTTGTTTGTTTGTTTGTTTTGATAATAGCTATTCTAATGGGTGTGAAGTGGTATTGCATTATGGTTTTGATTTATATTTCCCTAGTGACTAGTGATGTTGAGCGTCTTTTCAAGTGCTTATTGGCCATTTGTATATCATCTTTGGAGCAATGTCCGTGTATATCCTTTGCCCAGTTTTGAATTGTGGTATTTGTCTTTTTGGAGTTCTCTATATAGTCTGGATATTAATTCCTTATAATGTATGTAGTTTACAAATATTTTCTCCATTCCCTGGGTTGCCTTTTACTCTGTTGATGGCGGTTCTTGATGCACAAAAGTTTTTAATTCTGATGAAGTCCAGTTTGTCCACGTTTTCTTTTGTTGCCTGTGCCTTTGATGTTCTACATAAGAAATCATTGCCAAATTCATGTCGTGAAGCTTTTCCCATTTTCTTCTAAAAGTTTTCTAACTTTAGCTCTTACATTTAGGTCTTTGGTCTGTTTTAAGTTACTTTTTGTATTTGGCATTAGATAAGGGTCCAACTTCATTTTAGCTAAAATTTTATGTATTTTAAAATTTATTATGGAAAGCATGAAATGTTTAGTTGAATAGAAAATTTTGTGCAGTGGAATTAACTGAATCTTTAAAACCTTTTTATTATGGAAATATCCAAACTATTCCATACATAGAAGAATATAATGAGTCCCCCATGTGCCCAGGCCCCAGCATTAATTATCAATATTTTGCCAATCTCATTTCATTTACACACATGCCCCCACACACATTTTTTCTTAGAAAATTTTAAGTAAAATCACAGATGTTATGTCATTTTACCCATGAGTACATAAACGTACATTTCTTAACGTGGTATGTCTTTCTGTCATCACCTGTTTTGTTCTTTATTTTTATATATTATACTATGTCATTATCAGACCTTGTAAAATTAACAAGAATTCCTTAATATGTCATATCCAGTTAATGATTGACTCATTTCTACTCTAGCTAAAGTACAATTTAGGAGGAGGTTTGAGGATATTTTTTAACATTAAGATATAAACTTTTATAACAACGGCTTAAATAATTGTTCCTAGAGTCTAATATTTCTATTGGCAAATTGGAAATTAGTATACATAGACATAGATTCTGCTCATTTTACTTTCAATCTAAAATCATAGTTAAGATTACTGGCCAGGCGCGGTGGCTCACACCTGTAATCCCAGCACTTTGGGAGGCAGAGGCGGGTGGATCACGAGGTCGGGAGTTTGAGACCAGCCTGGCCAATGTGGTGAAACCCCGTGTCTACTAAAAATACAAAAAAAATTATTCAGGCATGGTGATAGGCGCCTGTAACCCCAGCTACTCGGGAAGCTGAGGCAGAGAATTGTTTGAACCCGGGAGGCAGAGGTCGCAGTGAGCCGAGATCGCATCACTGCACTCCAGCCTGGGCGACAGAGCGAGTCTCCGTCTCAAAAAAAAAAAAAAAAAGATTGCTATGCTAGAAAGTCTTCCTGTAGAGGCATTTTTAAGAAACATTATGATAGGCATTGGCTCTGGAAAGCAGGCATGAAATAGATGACTGGGGTCTATCATGAGAGAGACCATTCTCTATATGTCACTTTGTACCTTCACATGTTGCCTCTTGTTTTGTTTTGGTCTTTTTTTGAGACAGGACCTTGCTCTGTCACTCAGGCTAGAGTGCAGTGGCATGATCATAGCTCACTATAACGTTGAACTCTGGGCTCAAGTGATCCTCTTTCCCCAGCTCCCCGAGTAGCTGAGATTACAGGCATGCACCCCCATGCCTGGCTGTATGTTGCTATTTTATGTTTTAAAAACCTAATCCTGACTGTGCTGGTAGTCGCATGAATCTCTGCACATACATGCAAACAAGTACATGTAAAACTGGTGAAATCTGAATAAGCTTCATGGATTATATCAATTTCAGTTTCCTGATTCTGACAGTGTATGATACTTATGCAAGATTTAATCGAGACAAAGTGAGTAAAGAATATGTGAGATCTTTGTATTATTTCTTACAACTGCAAAATAAGAAGTTTTTAAAATTAAGTTATAATAACAAAAAAAAGAACTCTGTGTCAAAACTAAAATATAAAGTTGAAATATTGATTTTATTTTTTAGGAATCTGGTGGACAGTAACAAACTTTGGTGAAATTTCAGGAACCATAGCCATTGAAATGGATAAGGGAACCTATATACATGCACTCGACAATGGTCTTTTTACCCTGGGAGCTCCACACAAAGAAGGTTTGTGTCTGGAAGGGAAGAGGCTGCCACAAGTGTAGATTTTAGGACATTCATTCACTTAGGCCAAACTCTAACTAGTCTCAAACATTTTCCAAAGGAATGGAACCATTGCATTTGACTCTTCCATTTTTTTTTAATTCCTTAATATTTACCAGCCATTGGCAAGTCCCTCTTTCTAATATAAGCATTTGAAAACATTCCGTATAGTTCCAGAAGAGTATCTTTGGAAATCAAAATAACATGAATAATTAAAATAGTAAGTGGAAAGAAAAAAGAAAACCTATTTGAGTCAAAATGTTTGAATTTCTTTTTTATTCAGACCTATTGCCAAAACTAACCTGGGTGCGTTTAACAGTTTGAAGTTTCCTCATTTTCTTTAGCCCATTAGAGGAAGCACTAATGAGATATGAAGTAATTAGAAGATAAAAAGCAGTATCATTTGGTCAGCAAGGCCATCCCTTGAATAAGTGAAAGCATTTAGCTTTTTAAATAAGTGCTTATTTATGACTGTATTTTAAAACATAAAGAGAAGCTATCTCAAAAGTTATTAAATAAGCATTATATCACCCTGTCTTACTCAGTGTATAAAATTAACACTGTAGTTAAAAGAAGGTAAAATAGATCTTGATTCCAAAGATACAGTATTACAGTGACATCAGTATATCTGAATATTCTTACATTTAATTGCAGAAGAAAATAGCCACATTTTTTAAAACAAAATAATGTCTTTATATTTATAGCAAATGTCAAATTTATTTTCAAATGTTTTTTCTCCAATAGTTGATGAGGGCCCTAGTCCTCCAGAGCAGTTTACGGCTGTCAAATTATCTGATTCCAGGTGAGCTTATGTTGTAATATAATTAGTAACCAGTTATTTTAAAAATTTAATTGTATTCATTAAAAATTTTAGTATCTGTCTTAAGCCCACAGGGTAATTTTGATGTAAAAAACAAAATAGCTTTTTTGAAAAGTAGATTTTGTGATCTACTTTTAATGGATTTCCTATCAATATATAATGCTAGGCTGGAAAAAAAATAAGTTAAAAAGTGAAGATTAATAATTTCACATACCGAATAAGATAGATTAAAAAATGAATCAAATAGTACAAAACCTGGTTCACTGTTGCTGTGATATTTAAACTCACTGTTTGGAAGTCCAAAGGCAAACAGGAAGACTAAAAAAAGGAATATTGTTGAAACCAGCAGAGAATGTTACAGAATCATAACGACCAAAAGAATATTTTTACTCACTATTTTTACAGTCATTTTATAAAGTAACCTTTTTTATTCTCACCTTGTGCAAAAGTATAGAACGATTCTTTGGGCAGAAGATACTGAAAGTGAATTTACATATTTTAGTAATTGGTTACATCAATATGATAATGATTTCTGTTATATAATCATTAATGTATAAAGGAGTAAAAGTCAATTCTGGCATCCCAGGAGATTCTCGGTAAGGTAAAAGATTAGAAATCATAATTTTAAAAAATCACATTAAGATGATTATTTCTGTACTTTCTTTGAAAGTCTGATAAGTATGGTGAAAGACAGAATAAAAGCAGAGGAAGAAAAAATTCAATAGTTTTAAACTGCTTTACAATTATAAACAAAAAAGGATTATAAAGAAAATTAACTGACAAATGAGGAAAATATTTGCAACAATCTTAATAGGCAGTGAGTTCTTACTCTTCATATGTATCTTGTATAGAATTCATAGCACTGATGACCCCAGTAGAAAAACTGCGAACAATCAGATCTCAATAGAAAAATGGACAAGGGACATTACCAGATAATCTAAAAACTAAAAAGGAAAGGAAAAGAAAAACAATTGTTATTCTAGTTAACTACTAAAATGCAAATTTATAGGATACTGTTTTTTCCATATCAGGTTTTCAAGTATTTTTTTAAAGTCATAATGTTTAAAAAAAAATGCGTGATACAAAACATACTCTGTTAATTTGAGGTAAGAATGTAAATGGAAGCAGCATTTTCTGGAAAACAGTTTGATGACATAAGAACTTTATACTCTTCGATCCAGTTATTTCTAGGAATTTTTTCTAAGGATAAAGCAGTTTTATGTACAGAATAGATGTACATAGAACTATTTATAATAAGAGAAAAAGTAAGTTTTAGTAATTTATTCTTGAACTTTATAACTAAAGAGGTATAATTGAAGAATGATGAATTTCAAAAATATTTGTTATGTAATATATAAGGTACAATGTTTATATTAAAAAAGCACAATATAAAACTAAATTTAAAACTGCACTGTCCAACATGGCAGCAACTAGTCACATGTAGCTTTTTTCTTTTTTTTTTTTTTAAAGGCACAGAGTCTCACTCTGTCACCCAGGCTGGAGTGCAGTGGTGTGACCGTATCTCACTATAACCTCAAATTTCTGGGCTCAAGCAATCCTCCTGCGTCAGCCTCCCAAGTAGCTGGTATCACATGTGCATGCCGCCATGCCCAGCTAACTTTTTAAATTTTTTGTAGAGATGGGGTCTCACTGTGTTGTCCAGGCTGATCTTGAACTTCTTGCCTCAAGCAATTCTCCCGTTGGCTTCCCAAAGCACAGAGATTACAGGAGTGAGTCACCACTCAGCCACATGCAGCTTTTGAAGACTTGGAATATGTGCAGTCTGAAATTTTAGATATGTACACAGCCACACACATACGCATGTCCTGTTTTGATGTCCTATAATTAATTTTCTCTCAGTCTTTAACTTTTATCTATGTTATTAATGTACAGAATCGCCCTGAAGTCTGGCTATGGAAAATATCTTGGTATAAATTCAGATGGACTTGTTGTTGGGCGTTCAGATGCAATTGGACCAAGAGAACAATGGGAACCAGTCTTTCAAAATGTAAGTGCTGTTATTGTTTATAAAAACTTCCTGTCAGTTTAACAGAAAGTCTGTTAACAGTCAATCATAATATATTTAAAAAGAAAAAGTAGGATGCAATAGTGTAATACATTAAATAGGAATAAATCAATAAGAACATAGAGCCTTAAAGAGATCTCAAAATATAGTGCAACAAAAATCGCATTAGTCCTTTTGCCCACAATTATTTCTGTATACCCTTAGTGCCTAGATATGGATCTCATTTCCATTGAAGAACCAGTCAATTTTAGGTCTCAGAGTAGGAAAACAGAGTAGTTCCTAAGTATCTTTGTAGCAGAAATCATGGATGCTTTCAGAAACATTAGAGACTGTAAGCGAACAGTGGAGCTTGCTAAGACCAAGTTGTGACAATTTGTGCATAAAATAAATAATAATAGTTCATTGAAGTAAATTATCTCTAAAAGACTTTCAGTTCATAAGCTTAAAATAGCATACGAAAAGATAGTTTTAATATAAGAAGAAAAAAGATAATATACTAATTCTTAATTTTAGTAAGTAGACAGTTGTATATGGATGTTTTGTTAAATCTTTGTTGACACAGAATACATAATTTCCTTTTTCTGTTTGTGTGAGAAGTAAAGATTGAACAAAAATATGTGAGTGCTAAACAGTCTTTAAAAAGTAGATAACTTTATCAAAAACAGTAAGGACCAATGGGCACCACGCAGAGCAAGCAAATAGAAGATAAGCTTAGCCTTTGAGTAGCAGCTTTGGTAGTATACACTAATGAATTGAAAATAGGAACTCAGCAGTGTTTTCTAAGATGACAGATTAAACAAACATCCCTCCAGAAAGAGGTAATCACTTAGACTAATTTCCTCATCCCCTAGGATAAAATCTTAACTCAGTGACTTGAAAACTATTTTGGCCCAACCCATTGAGAAATGCATTTTTACATTGCAGCCCAGCACACATGTATAACTGAAGCAAGAGTTGTACTTAACAATACTTACTTATCCATGTGTTATGCACCTTGATATTTCTTATTCTCTTTTACCCCTTCCTCTGTGAGTCTGTGTGTATTCCTTCCCCCGCCCCCCATACCGTACAGGAAACAACACTACATTGATTTCATGACCCGCTAATGTGTTGCAACCCCTTTGAGATGATCCTACTAGTTAGGATGAGATACTTCTAATAAAAGTTACACCGGTAGAAAAGGCCAATATATCATAAGGCCTTAGATGATGACTTAGATAGTACTAATAATACAACACTTTAGGAAAGTTCGTTTCATTTTATTTTTAGGAAGGACACTAAGTTTCAAAAATTTAAATTTAAATGAAAGAGGGTCTTAAAACTATTGCAAAAGGGACTCAGCTGAATAATCTGTGGCACAGGTTTAAATCGTCTTGGACCACACCACCATGTTCCAGGGCTCACCAGGAGCCATCCAGATGAGAGACCACCCAGCCCTTGTGACCTTGACTAAGAAATTAAATCCATGTTATCAGCACTTTTTTAACTTGATGTGATATAAGGTTAACATATTTTGTAATCATTGTATTTATAAATATTTTGTCTAAATGTTATGGTATTCCAAGTTTTCCAAAAGAATCAACCAAATACAAGTTATAAATAAACATTATATTTGTTAAGGGAGTTAAGCTAACCAAATTTATAACCCAGATTTAGATACACAAGAAAATCAGTCTTTAAAGTTTTAATAGAAAGCAGTGTAATATATCAAACATTAAACAACTAAAAAAGTATATGAATATTTATTTTCACACACAAAAGTCCCTCAGACATTGATTCTTAAATTCAAAACACCAAAGCATTGTATGTACCTTTTCATGTTTTCTAATTGTGAAGAAAATAAATTTTACTTAAAATGCTAATATTTGAATAAAGTATGCATTCATAATTATGTTCTTGTCTTTAAAGTTAATTTTTCAAACTGAACTAAATCAGTTATGTCTTCAGTAGATCTTTTAGAAAGGAAGCAATCCTACCTCATCTACTTAGAATTTAGTCCTACTAGGAAGATACACTACAAATGTTTATTGTGGTAATCTTTGAATAGTAAAATGATAGGTGATTTTGGTTTCTTTTCTATATGTTCTTGTATTATATTTTTCAGGTTTTTCTCTAAGTTCTTTTCTGTGATTTTTAAATCAGGGAGGAAAAATTAATTCAGTCTAAACACTTAATGTTTCTCCCACAAGAAGTATCCTCATGGCTATTTTGTTATTTGTTTCACTTAGGGGAAAATGGCTTTGTTGGCCTCAAATAGCTGCTTTATTAGATGCAATGAAGCAGGGGACATAGAAGCAAAAAGTAAAACAGCAGGAGAAGAAGAAATGATCAAGGTAATGATGACATTTTATACAGATGACTGCATTCACACATGCGATGTGACTGTATCTCTTTAAAATGTTAAATGGTCATTTACTGTCACTTTAAAGATTTACTTAATAGCTTTTTATAATGTGGTGTTTCAAATAGACTCATTTTTAATTATAAATCCCATAGTTGATGTCTTGTTTATACAATGTGGTAGAGAAATGAGTGCATCTAGGAGCTACCTTGCCATTATCTCCATGGATTAGTATCTTCTTCTGGTAGTTCCACATGCTCTTTTTAAGCTTTCATTTTCTTGTTTTCTTGCTTGTATTTTAAAATCTAATTTTTAAAATAGATAACATGTACACGTGGTCCAACATTTTCAAATAAAAGCATGTGAAGACGTATGCCTGCCATGCGTCTTACTCACCTGTGTCCCAGCACCTGTTCGTCTTTCCCTTTGTTTTTTTATAGCCTCCTAAAATTTCTTTATAAACATATGAATATGTTTATAATTTTCAACTGTTTTACGCTAAAGGTAGCCTCCTCTATAGTCTAGACTTCAATTTTTTTTTTTCCTTAAAATTGTATCTTGGAGAGTTTTCTACTATGAGTTTGAATGTAGAAAGTTTTCTCTTTTTCTTGCTTTTCCTCTCTTTCTCTCTCTCTCAACAGCCACATAATATTCCATTTCAGGGATGTACCTTAATTTATTTAGTCTTTTATAGATGGAAATTTAGGCTGTTTCCAGTCTTTTGCTCTTATAAACAGTGCTGCAGTACATAACATTGAATATGCATCAGTTTGTAGATGTGCGGGTGGACCTGAAGGTAAATTTCCAGAAGCAGAATTACCAGGTCGGGGTATATGCGTTTGTATTTACGTAATGCTTGAGCTTCTGTGATGATAATCACTCTATGAAACATAAAAAATCATAGCAGAACTTCTGGGGCCTTAGCCCTCAGATTTTAAAAATATTTTTATTAATAGTACCCGTCTTCTTTGCATTAGGAGAAACATGAATCACATAAAACATGATTTTTATTTTATTTTTAAAATTTGTGTGCGTCACTAAGCTGGAAATAAAAGTTCCTTATTCCAGGCTAAATTCCCTCATCCGTAGTCAGACGCGTTATCCATTGCACCAGTGGCCTGTGCCCTCTCTAATCCTACTCTTTGTTTTACATCATTGTAAAAGTTACACAGACATCTTCATATCAAGGTGAAATTCTAAATAATACTGTTAATATAACCTAGATAAATCAAGTAGTTAATTGGAATCTGATGAAAACATTTAAGGCTTAATTTTTTAGACTCACAGAAGCCACTGATCTTTAATGATAAACATATACCAGGATGTGTCTAAAGAATAACTCCCCACTTCTTGACACATGGCTTTTCTGTGTCTTGGCATTCCATCTCAGTACTGAGCATCCTGAACCTTGCTTTGTTTGTCTCTGTTGGGAATCACAGGTTGCATCCAGTCTGACCCAGATTTCCTCTGTAAGGCATTGTGGGGGCCAGAGTGGAAGGCTCTAAGAGAGGGGGCAAGTGCCTTTTCTAAAATGCCCTTCGTTCTTATAATTAGAGCATAAAAATTTATGTTACATTTTTCTCTACTACCAGTGCAATTTAAAAGCATCTATCAAATCTCTGTACATACTTCATGTTAGATTTCCTGTCATAAGTTTGATTTTCTTTTTAGAATAGTCTTGATTTCAAATAATTTCAAATCTAAAGCTCAAACAATTTCAATCTAAAATGTAGGTATTTTCTTACAGAAGGGAAATGTTATATTTTTTCATTGCATGCACCCAGCACATGCGTTGTAGTCTTGAATTTCCATAATGCCCCTGTGAGGTGGATGTGAGCTCAGCATTACAGACAAGAAGACAGCCTCTGACCCTCCTTACATCCTCGTGGTTTTTGTCAGTCAGTTCATGGAAATCACAGTGATTTCAAGGTGTGGTAAGACAGGATGTGTACCCAGGCCCAGCTGACTCCAGAGGCCACTCTCAATATTTCATAGCACATTGCTTCTCAGGAAACAGGTCATTGGGGAAATGCAGATGGGTTTGTGACTTACATTTAATTTTATTTATTTATATTTTATTGTATCATGTTTAAATTATTTTGCATCTGGATATCATCACAAAAGTGTTACTGAAGGCAACAATTGCAAATATATGTGCAGTGCTTTGCACTTATACAAAGATACAAAGATACTTACACAAAGATTGCCTTTTTCACTATTTAAAGCAATTTTCAGACGAAATACAAAGTTTTCTGGGTCTCTTTGGTTAGTCAAGTACCTGGAAGCTCTGAACAGTGATTATTTAGGACTCTTTTCCTTTACCATTTAATTGCAGGCTCTCCTAATCTCTGTCAGCCCTTCACCTTTATGACCTTGCCTTATCTACCAGAACACAGATCCCTCTTACTAAAGGTAGCCTTGTGTTACCTCTGTCAGCCCTTCAGCTTTATGACCAGAACACAGATCCCTCTTACTAAAGGTAGCCTTGTGTTACAGGCCCTAGCAGGGAATGTTTTCAGGTCTGGGACCCCTCTAATCAGAACTGTCACAAAGATGTCATTTGCACAAACACGTTATTTGTCATCACTTTCTAAGCAGCCCTGGAACTGGACTCTGGCCACAGAGATCCCTTAGGAGACATGAGTCCTTACCATTGCTAATTGCCTGTTCTGTGGGTGATCCTAATTGTTGAATGCAGATTAATTAACTTATGACATGTGGTAGTAAACATCTATCCAAACTTAGGAGGATATAAGAAGCTAGTAAAAGAGGTGGGTTCCAATTAGTTAAAAACAAGTTGTGTAATGTTAAAAGTTTTAATACTTTGGTAATAGTCTGTGCAACATAAAATAGCTATTAAGCTTTCAATCCGATCAAATGAACACTTGTCTACTAGGGATAATTTGATCCTAGTGTATTCACTTGGAGGACAAAATTAAATTAGTTAATGATCGCTTTATTTCCTAGCAGGATCTGATGTGTAAAATGTTTCTGAAATAATTTTGTCTGTAGTGTTTCTGACACAATGCTGTGGAGGAAGCATGTGATAGCACTTACTCATATAGATTATATATATGAAGTAAAAACACATAGCCAGAACCTTTTTCTGAATATAGTTGCTCAGTTAATTTTTTCTTCTGCATAAGAAATCATCTCGAATGTTCTTATGTGATACGTAAAGTGGGGAAGGTGGAAGATAAACATATAACCCATTGGATTCTCTTTTCCAATATCTAGATTAGATCCTGTGCTGAAAGAGAAACCAAGAAAAAAGATGACATTCCAGAAGAAGACAAAGGAAATGTAAAACAATGTGAAATCAATTATGTGTATGTATTCTTTTCCTTTTAGACCTACAGATTTGACAGTGAAGTGCTTCTCAAAGTGCTTTCAAAATAAATTACCTACTTAGCTGGGCATGGTGGTACATGCCTATAGGCCCAGCTACTCGGGAGGCTGAGACAGGAGGATTGTTTGAGCCCAGGAGTTCAAGGCTGCAGTGAGCTCTGATCACCACTGCCTTCCAGCCTGGGTGGCAGAGCAAGACCGTGTCTGAAAAAATGAAACTGATGGACAAGAAGAGACGACACAATGTAGCCTCTAGGACAGAGCACTGAGCTAAATGCTTTTCTTTTCTTGAGGCTTCAGTTTTCCTAATCATCCTACCACCTCCCAAAGCTAGTCACTCAGGTTAGTCAATCTCTCTATTCATTCATAGAATGGGTGTGATGCCAGTCAAAGGCTGTGCTATGGCCAGGACACAGGGGACTCTAGCCAGCATGCCCTAATAGAAGTGGGGCCTTGTGCTACCCAGTCAATGAGTGGCCCTCCTCTTGAGAGGTCATGAAGGTCATCTTTGTTGAAAAGCTCCAGCTTATTTAAAAAAATACAATTAGACCTTTTTTTTTCTCCCCCAAGATGGAGTCTCGCTCTCTCCCCCAGACTAGAGTGCCATGGCGCGATCTCGGCTCATCGCAACCTCCGCTTCCCAGGTTCATGTGATTCTCCTGCCTCAGCCTCCCGAGTAGCTGGGACTACAGGCGCGTGCCACTATGCTCGGCTAATTTTTGTATTTTTGGTAGAGATGGGGTTTCACCATGTTGGCCAGGCTGTTCTCGAACTCCTGACCTTGAGCGATGTGCCTGCCTTGGCCTCCCAAAGTGCTGGGATTGCAGGCATGAGCCACTGCGCCTGGCCTACAATTAGACTTTTTTACAAGTGAAAAAGAAATTAACAGTATTTATAAATTTAATAGTAAATATGTATAATCAGAGTTTGAGGTATTTTTCAATGAAGACATTTTCTTTACAGAAAGAAATTTCAGAGCTTCCAAGACCACAAACTTAAAATAAGTAAAGAAGACAGTAAAATTCTTAAAAAGGCTCGGAAAGATGGATTTTTGCATGAGACGCTTCTGGACAGGTAGCTATTTATTTACTTATTTCCACTATTTTCAGTAGCCAATAGAAATGGCATGTAGAAAACCTACATTCTCTTAAATTACTGTAGTTTTTCACATTTTTGTCTTTATTTCTAATTTATGAGTGTGGCAATATTACCTAAAGAGGACATCGTAAGTTTGGGAAAAGACTGTCATGAAAGAATATCTAAAAATTATAACCGATTCTAAGTATATACTTGAAGAAATTCAGGTTTGACTGTATCTACTTCATAAATTTATCATCTTTTTATAACTATTAGAACCAGAGTTAGAAGCAGTTTGACTAATATAAAAATTATGTGGATTCTGTTAGAGTAGTTCAGGTTCCTTAAAATAAGAATAGATCAACTAAAAAACTAAGTATAAAAGCTAAACAAGTGAAATTGAAGCAGTTTTATTATAAGATTTGGAAGAGTGCAGGATGTTTATCATACCACATTATTAATATTTATTACTCTTCCTAGGTAGATAAGTAATGTCCTAGATTTATGACATAGAAAAACAGAGACGTTTAGCTGTGAGTGTACAAGTATAAATCAATTAAGTGCCAGATTTTGATAATCACCAGCCGCTCATTCAAGTCGTATGTTGCAAAGTTACTCTTACCCTTTTTTTTACATTACTTGATAAAGGCAATGTTTAATTACGTATTTCCTGTTAACTAGCTGGTAGTGTTCATACCTAAAGTCAGTAAATAATGTTAAGAATTTTTTCCAGCTGAGCAAATGAATATGTATCTCATTGTAAGAAATCAAGAAGAGGATATAAAATATAATCAGGATGTGGACTCTAAAACGGAATAAGCTCTATGTCCTGTAACTTTTATCACTTGTAATAATACAGCATTCTCACCCTGTTAAATGGAAATTTAGAGCAGCCTTAAATTCCGGAATAATTAAAATTGCTATTTGGATTGAAAAAGCCCTTAGGCAACATTTATTGAATATTAGGAAATAACTTTTATAAGATTAGAATCCATTTTTTATAGAAACCAAATTTAAAAGTATACATATTTTAATAAAAGTGTTGTGGTAATAACCAAAATTGAACACACAGTTTTAAAGCTTTTTATATTTAGTAGCAGTTGAATATATATGGCATGTTTTACATAGATTAATTTTATTTTTCTTTGTTTAAACAGGAGAGCCAAATTGAAAGCCGACAGATACTGCAAGTGACTGGGATTTTTGTTTCTGCCTTATCTTTCTGTGTTTTTTTCTGAATAAAATATTCAGAGGAAATGCTTTTACAGAGTTCTTGAGTTGTGAAATTATTGTTTAGCTAGTTTAACCAGGATTAAACAAGTTTAATCAGGATTCTTCATGGATGTACTTTTTAGCTAACTACAGTTTTTCACATGGAAATGAAACTTACAGTTCACACTTAATGTACCACAGAATTTTTTTCTGGATTTCCTGTCCTGAAGCATGAAGTGTACTAGAAACCAATTCTTCCTGCGCTACTTGTGGAATCTGTCTTACTGGATCATAATCTTACTTTACTTTATATAATAGATGCTTAATCAGTGCCTTTAATAGAAGTTAGAAACTCCCAATCCAATCAACAAGGCTTTGGTTCTACCTTCTAAGTACTACCCAGATCACAGACAATCCAAATATCAGAACTAGGGGGCTGGGCAGAGAGGACAAATCATCTATTAGGGAGTGGGACAGAAAGCAGAAACATTACAAAGGAGCAAGTAGGCTCAGAACAGAGGGGAGAGTAGTACTGGGGAAACTCCCTGCTGAGGACAGGTTAGCCACAGTGGATATGTATGTGATGCCTTTGTCCTTGTGGGCTGGAATGGAAGCTGGTAAGGGAATAGGAACAGCTCCAGTCTACAGCTCCCAGCGTGAGCGATGCAGAAGACGTGTGATTTCTTCATTTCCAACTGAGGTACCAGGTTCATCTCACTGGGGAGTGTCAGGCAGTGGGTGCAGGACAGTGGGTACAGTGCACCGAGCATGAGCCAAAGCAGGGCGAGGCATCACCTTACCCAGGAAGAACAAGGGGTCAGGGAATTCCCTTTCCTAGTCAAAGAAAGGGGTGACAGACGGCACCTGGAAAATTGGGCCACTCCCACCCTAATACTGCGCTTTTCCAACACTCTTAGCAAACGGCACACCAGGAGATTATATCCTGCGCCCGGCTTGGAGGGTCCTGCGCCCAAGGAGCCTCGCTCATTGCTAGCACAGCAGTCTGAGATCAAACTGCAAGGCGGCAGCGAGGCTGGGAGAGGGGCACCTGCCATTGCCGAGGCTTGAGTAGGTAAAGTGGCTGGGAAGCTCAAACTGGGTGGAGCCCACTGCAGCGCAAGGAGGCCTGCCTGCCTCTGTAGACTCCACCTCTAGGGGCAGGGCATAGCCAAACAAAAGGCAGCAGAAAACTCTGCAGACTTAAATGTCCCTGTCTGACAGCTTTGAATAGAGTAGTGGTTCTCCCAGCAAGCAGCTGGAGATCTGAGAACAGACAGACTGCCTCCTCAAGTGGGTCCCTGACCCCCGAGTAGCCTAACTGGGAGGCATCCCCCAGTAGGGGAAGACTGACACCTCACATGGCCGGGTACTCCTCTGAGACAAAACTTTCAGAGGAACAATCAGGCAGCAACATTTGCTGTTCACCAATATCTGTTGTTCTGCAGCCTCCACTGCTGATACCTGGGCAAACGGTCTGGAGTGGACCTCCAGTAAACTCCAACAGACCTGCAGCTGAGGGTCCTGACTGTTAGAAGGAAAACTAACAGAAAGGACATTCACACCAAAACTCCATCTGTACATCACCATCATCAAAGACCAAAGGTAGATAAAACCACAAAGATGGGGAAAAAACAGAGCAGAAAAACTGGAAACTAAAAATCAGAGCACCTCTCCTCCTCCAAAGGAACACAGCTCCTCACCAGCAACGGAACAAAGCTGGACGGAGAATCATTGACGAGTTGAGAGAAGGCAGCTTCAGACAAACTACTCCGAGCTACAGGAGGAAATTCAAACCAATGGCAAAGAAGTTAAAAGCTTTGAAAAAAAATTAGACAAATGGATAACTAGAATAACCAATGCAGAGAAGTCCTTAAAGGACCTGATGGAGCTGAAAACCACGGCATGAGAACTACGTGATGAATGCACAAGCCTCAGTAGCCGATTTGATCAACTGGAAGAAAGGGTATCAGTGATGGAAGATCAAATGAATGAAATGAAGCGAGAAGTTTAGAGAAAAAAGAATAAAAAGAAACGAACAAAGCCTCCAAGAAATACGGGACTATGTGAAAAGACCAAATCTATGTCTGATTGGTGTACCTTAAAGTGATGGGGAGAATGAAACCAAGTTGGAAAACACTCTGCAGGATATTATCCAGGAGAACTTCCCCAATCTAGCAAGGCAGGCCAATATTTAAATTCAGGAAATACAGAGAATGCCACAAAGATACTCCTTGAGAAGAGCAACTCCAAGACACATAATTATCAGATTCACCAAAGTTGAAGGAAAAAATGTTAAGGGCAGCCAGAGAGAAAGGTTGGGTTACCCACAAAGGGAAGCCCATCAGACGAACAGCTGATCTCTCCGCAGAAACTCTACAAGCCAGAAGAGAGTGGGGGCCAATATTCAACATTCTTAAAAGAATTTTCAACCCAGAATTTCATATCTAGCCAAACTAAGCTTCATAAGTGAAAGAGAAATAAAATCTACAGACAAGCAAATGCTGAGAGATTTTGTCACCAGCAGGCCTGCCCTAACAGAGCTCCTGAAGGAAGCACTAAACATGGAAAGGAACAACCTGTACAAGCCACTGCAAAAACATGCCAAATTGTAAAGAACATCGAGGCTAGGAAGAAACTGCATCAACTAATGAGCAAAATAACCAGCTAATATCATAATGACAGGATCAAATTCACACATAACAATATTAACCTTAAATGTAAATGGGCTAAATGCTCCAATTAAAAGAGAGAGACTGGCAAATTGGATAGAGTCAAGACCCATCAGTGTGCTGTACTCAGGAAACCCATCTCACATGCAGAGACACACATAGGCTCAAAATAAAGGGATGGAGGAAGATCTACCAAGCAAATGGAAAAAAAAAGGCAGGGGTTGCAATCCTAGTATCTGATAAAACAGACTTTAAACCAACAAAGATCAAAAGAGACAAGGCCATTACATAATGGTAAAGGGATCAATTCAACAAGAAGAACTAACTATCCTAAATATATATGCACCCAATACAGGAGCACCCAGATTCATAAAGCAAGTCCTTAGAGACCTACAAAGAGACTTAGACTCCCACACAATAATAATGGGAGACTTTAACACCCCACTGTCAACATTAGACAGATCAACAAGACAGAAAGTTCACAAGGATATCCAGGAATTGAACCCAGCTCTGCACCAAGCAGATCTAGTAGACATCTACAGATCTCTCCACCCCAAATCAACAGAATATACATTCTTTTCAGCACCACACCACACCTCTTCCAAAATTGACCACATAGTTGGAAGTAAAGCACTCCTTAGCAAATGTAAAAGAACGGAAATTATAACAAACTGTCTCTCAGACCACAGTACAATCAAACTAGAACTCAGGATTAAGAAACTCACTCAAAACTGCTCAACTACATGGAAACTGAACAACCTGCTCCTGAATGACTACTGGGTACATAACGAAATGAAGGCAGAAATAAAGATGTTCTTTGAAACCAACGAGAACAAAGACACAACATACCAGAATCTCTGAGACACATTCAAAGCAGTGTGTAGAGGGAAATTTATAGCACTAAATGCCCACAAGAGAAAGCAGGAAAGATCTAAAATTGACACCCTAACATCACAATTAAAAGAACTAGAGAAGAGCAAACACATACAAAAGCTAGCAGAAGGCAAGAAATAACTAAGATCAGAGCAGAACTGAAGGAAATAGACACAAAAAACCCTTCAAAAACTCAATGAATCCAGGAGCTGGTTTTTTGAAAAGATCAACAAAATTGATAGACTGCTAGCAAGACTAATGAAGAAAAGAGAGAAGAATCAAATAGGTGCAATAAAAAATGATAAAGGGGATATCACCACTGATCCCACAGAAATACAAACTACCATCAGAGAATACTATAAACACCTCTACGCAAATCAACTAGACAATCTAGAAGAAATGGATAAATTCCTGGACACATACACCCTCCCAAGACTAAACCAGGAAGAACTTGAATCTCTGAATAGACCAATAACAGGCTCTGTAATTGAGGCAATAATTAACAGCTTACCAACCGAAGAAAGGCCAGGACCAGATGGATTCACAGCCTAATTCTACCAGAGGTACAAGGAGGAGCTCATACCATTCCTTCTGAAACTATTCCAATCAATAGAAAAAGAGGGAATCCTCCCTAACTCATTTTATGAGGCCAGCATCATCCTGATACCAAAGCCTGGCAGAGACACAACAAAAAAAGAGAATTTTAGACCAATATCCCTGATAAACATCGATGCAAAAATCCTCAATAAAATACTGGCAAACCGAATCCAGCAGCACATCAAAAAGCTTATCCACCATGATCAAGTGGGCTTCATCCCTGGGATGCAAGGCTGGCTCAACATATGCAAATCAATAAATGTAATCCAGCATATAAACAGAACCAATGACAAAAACCACATGATTATCTCAATAGATGCAGAAAAGGCCTTTGACAAAATTCAACAAACCTTCATGCTAAAAACTCTCAAAAAATTAGGTATTGATGGGACATATCTCAAAATAGTAAGAGCTATCTATGACAAACCCACAGCCAATAGCATACTGAATGGGCAAAAACTGGAAGCATTCCCTTTGAAAACCAGCACAAGACAGGGATGCCCTCTCTCACCACTCCTATTCAACATAGTGTTGGAAGTTCTGGCCAGGGCAATCAGGCAGGAGAAGGAAATAAAGGGTATTCAATTATGAAAAGAGGAAGTCAAATTGTCCCTGTTTGCAGATGACATGATTGTGTATCTAGAAAACCCCATCATCTCAGCCCAAAATCTGCTTAAGCTGATAAGCAACTTCAGCAAAGTCTCAGGATACAAAATCAATGTGCAAAAATCACAAGCATTCTTATACACCAATAATAGACTAACAGAGAGCCAAATCATGAGTGAACTCCCATTCACAACTGCTTCAAAGAGAATAAAATACCTAGGACTCCAACTTACAAGGGACATGAAGGACCTCTTTAAGGAGAAATACAAACCACTGCTCAATGAAATAAAAGAGGATACAAACAAATGGAAGAACATTCCATGCTCATTGGTAGGAAGAATCAATACCGTGAAAATGGCCATACTGCCCAAGGTAATTTATAGATTCAATGCCATCCCCATCAAGCTACCAATGACTTTCTGCACAGAAATAGAAAAAAATACTTTAAAGTTCATATGGAATCAAAAAAGAGCCTGCATTGCCAAGTCAATCCTAAGCCAAAAGAACAAAGCTGGAGGCATCATGCTACCTGACTTCGAACTATACTACAAGGCTACAGTAACCAAAACAGCATGGTACTGGTACCAAAACAGAGATATAGAACAATGGAACAGAATAGAGCCCTCAGAAATAATGCCACATGTCTACAACCATCTGATCTTTGACAAACCTGACAAAAACAAGCAATGGGGAAAGGATTCCTTATTTAACAAATGGTGCTGGGAAAACTGGCCAGACATATGTAGAAAGCTGAAACTGGATCCCTTCCTTACACCTTATACAAAAATTAATTCAAGATGGATTAAAGACTTAAATGTTAGACCTAAAACCATAAAAACCCTAGAAGAAAACCTAGGCAATACCATTCAGGACATAGGCATAGGCAAGGACTTCATGTCTAAAACACCAAAAGCAATGGCAACAAAAGCCAAGATTGACAAATGGGATCTAATTAAACTAAAGAGCTTCTGCACAGCAAAAGAAACTACCATCAGAGTGAACAGGCAACCTACAGAATGGGAGAAAATTTTTGCAATCTACTCATCTGACAAAGGGCTAATATCCCGAATCTACAATGAACTCAAATTTACAAGAAAAAAAACAAACAATCCCATCAAAAAGTGGGCAAAGGATATGAACAGACACTTCTCAAAAGAAGACATTTATGCAGCCAACAGACACATGAAAAAATGCTCATCATCACTGGCCATCAGAGAAATGCAAATCAAAACCACAATGAGATACCATCTCACACCAGTTAGAATGGTGATCATTAAAAAGTCAGGAAACAACAGGTGCTGGAGAGGATGTGGAGAAATAGGAACACTTTTACACTGTTGGTGGGACTGTAAACTAGTTCAACCATTGTGGAAGTCCGTGTGGTGGTTCCTCAGGGATCTAGAACTAGAAATACCATTTGACCCAGCCATCCCATTACTGGGTATATACCCAAAGGATTATAAAACATGCTGCTATAAAGACACATGCACACATATGTTTATTGTGGCACTATTCACAATAGCAAAGACTTGGAACCAACCCAAATGTCTAACAATGATTGACTGGATTGAGAAAATGTGGCACATATACACCATGGAATACTATGCAGCCACGAAAAATGATGAGTTCATGTCCTTTGTAGGGACATGGATGAAGCTGGAAACCATCATTCTCAGCCAACTATTGCAAGGACAAAAAACCAAACACAGCATGTTCTCACTCATTGGTGGGAATTGAACAATGAGAACACTTGGACACAGGAAGGGGAACATCACACACCAGGGCCTGCTGTGGGGTCAGGGGAGGGGGGAGAGATAGCGATATGAGATATAACTAATGTTAAATGAAGAGTTAATGTGTGCAGCACACCAACATGGCACATGTATACGTATGTAACAAACCTGCCCGTTGTGCACATGTACCCTAAAACTTAAAGTACAATAAAGAAAAAAAAAATTCCATAGTGGCGATATAGAACAGTTTGTTTAACCATTCAGTCATTGGAGGATATCTGGGTTGTTTCTAGTTCTAGGCTATTACAAATAAAGGTGCTCTGAACATTTCTGTTAAAAAAAAAAAAAAGTTAAGACGCTACGTGTTGCTTAGGTCTGCTTTGTTGAAGCCTGTCTCTTTCAGAGTTCCTAAACACAATATTCCCATGGCATCTAATCCTAGTGAGTGCTCCAAATCCAGGCTGTGTATCAGATGCCACGGGAAATTCTGCCTCAGGACTGAGTTTGGTTCAAGCATCTGGATGTTGTCAAAAGTCCACGTTGTGTGCTGGCCTAATCTGAAAGACCCTAACTAGTTCTAGCCTTTAAATGCCTTCTGTCATCAAATCTAGAGTTACATGGCATTTGTACAAGCTAGGTAGCTGAGGCACGGAATCAGCCCTATAAAGGAGCTTTTGGTGCTTTTGTTGTAGGTCTAGCTCCAACTTGGCACTCCAGTTCCCATAGCTAGACTTTCTCTCATCGTGTGTTCTGATCCTTGGATTAGGAACAAAGTAACTACTCTGATACAAAGCAGTGGTTTCGGTTCCCAACTAGTGACTATTTTGCCTCCCAGGGGACATTTTTGGTTTTCACAACTGGGATACGGTGTTAGAGGGTAGAGGCTAGGGATGCTGCGAAGCATGTGGCAGAATCCTCTTCCGCCCCGAATGCTAATAGTGCCAACGTTGTGGAGGCTTCCCACCCAAGGGCTTGGTCTATTCCTTGCTTTTGCCAGCTCCCTAAACCTTAAACACATTTCAAATTTATATGCATAAGCATCTCCTAGGGACCTGCCCGTTTCCAATATCGACTACTGAGACCCATCCGTAGAGATGCAGGCTTAGGAGGTCTAGGATTGGGCTGAAAATTTGCATTTTAACAAGTACTCCAGGTCATTCTGAAGCAAGTGATACAAACCACACACTGAGGAACACGCCTTCAAGAGACTGAATCTTGCTTCCCAACACTAGCTTGCTATCTGAGACCATCTGCCTGCTGCTGGCTTTCCTGGCACAAACATTCTGCATGTAGGCACAGTGTGCTCCTGGACTCCATGTCACCTCGTTCACCCTCATGTTCCCTCGGTTCCTGTCCCCAGTCCAGCAAGCAGAACTGATTACAGATCTTAACAGAAGATACAGATTGAAAATAACTTGCCTGTTCCCGTGGACTTTATCCACTAGTCAAGGAGGACAAGTGGACA
Organism: Homo sapiens; assembly: GCF_000001405.40. Lineage (NCBI taxonomy): Eukaryota > Metazoa > Chordata > Mammalia > Primates > Hominidae > Homo > Homo sapiens. Next base: position 64,021 of record NW_015495301.1, read on the forward strand.
AGGGGAGAGGGTAGGTGGGGGCTCCTTCCCTGTTCCTCCCATTCCACTTTATACAAACCCCAGCTAGACCACTGGGAGAGCAACAGAGGTTAAGAATGACTGCATCTAAATATTTAATTTGGCCCACTCTTCTTCTGTCTTGAACACAAGGGTATCATGAGTTTTGTTTAAAGCACTACTGAAACCAAGATAAATTCTGGCTTAGCATGCCCCTGACAGATCAATCTAGTAATCTTATCAAAAAGATTGAGAAATCGGATGGTTGCTGTGTCTGGGTAGAAAGAAGTAGACATGGGAGACTTTTCATTTTGTTCTGCACTAAGAAAAATTCTTCTGCCTTGGGATCCTGTTGATCTGTGACCTTACCCCCAACCCCTTGCTCTCTGAAACATGTGCTGTGTCCACTCAGGGTTGAATGGATTAAGGGCGGTGCAAGATGTGCTTTGTTAAACAGATGCTTGAAGGCAGCATGCTCGTTAAGAGTCATCACCACTCCCTACTCTCAAGTACCCAGGGACGCAAACACTGCGGAAGGCCGCAGGGTCCTCTGCCTAGGAAAACCAGAGACCTTTGTTCACTTGTTTATCTGCTGACCTTCCCTCCACTATTGTCCTGTGACCCGGCCAAATCCCCCTCTGCGAGAAACACCCAAGAATGATCAATAAAAAAAAAAAAAAAACCAAGATTACCTAAAAGCACTAACCAAAGGAAAACTCCCTCACCTCAACCCGTGACTGCTCACATTTTTCAGATTGAATAATTTCAATTGTATTTTAAGGTTGACTCTTTACCACCTCCAAGCTGCTCCTGAACACAACTATTATTTTTTAATTTTGAAAAATTTTTCACTTCTAGAATTTCCACTTGAGGCTTTGTTATTACTGTAGTTTCTTCTTCTCTGCTGTGATTTTCTATCCATTTATTATAAGAGTTTTTGGGGTTTTGATTTTAGTAAGAATTATAATAACTACTTTAAAAAATCCATACTAATTCCAACATCTCGGTCGTCTCGAGGTCAGTCTCGATTGATTGCCTTTTTCTTTGAATATGTTTCTTGGTATGTTTGATATAATGGGATTGAATCCTGAAGATTGTAAAAACTGGATATTTTTTGTTCCTCTGAAAATTGATAATTTTTTGTATTTTTTTTTCTATTGTATACTTTACATTTTCCTCCAAGGGTTTTAACATTTCTAGTTCTCAAAACATTTACATTTATGTTAAAAATTATACAAAGTAGCTTGGTACAGTGGCTCCCATCTGTAATCCCAGCACTTTGAGAGGCCAAGGCAGGAGGGTCACTCGAGTCCAGGACTTGGAAACCAGCCTAGACAACAGGACAAGACCTTGTCTCCACAAAAAATTATTAGGGTGATACAAAAAGTAATTGCAGGTTTTGCCATTACTTTCAATGGCAAAACCCACAATTCCTCTTGCACCAACCTGATAAAAAATAAGCTGGGTATGGTGGTGGTATGTGCCGGTGGTCTCAGCTATTTGGGAAGTGAAGGCAGAGGTGGGAGGATTGCTTGAGCCCAGGAGTTCCAGACCACCCTGAGACCCTGTCTCTACGGGGAAAAAAAAAAAAAAAAAAAAAAATTAGCTGGGCCCACGTACCTGTGGTACTAGCTACTTGGGAGGCAAAGGCAGAGGTGCCAGAATCACTTGAGCCCAGAAGCTCAAGGCTGCAGGGCACTGTGATTGTGCCACTGCACTCCAGCCTAAGTGATGGAGCATGACCCTGACTCCAGATAATAATAATAATTACAAAAAGGAAAGACCTAGAACACCAGGTTAAAGTATTCTAAAATTTAGCTGACTTACTCTGCTCTCTATAAAACAGGGTTGCCACAGAAAATATAGCATGCCCAGTTAATTTTAAATTTCAGATAAACAAATACTTTTTTCAGTGTAAGTATACCCCATGCAATATTTGGGATATGCTTATACTAAAACTTATTCTTTGTTTATCTGAAATTGAAATTTAACTGGGTATTACATAATTATAGCAGCCTGACCATAAAAGATATGTAGGCTGAGCAAAATTCTACTTTAAACTTCAAGCTTTATAATAAATGCATTATTAATCAACAACTATTATTTACTGAGACCTGTGTAGATCCCCATATTTATTTTTAAATGTGGAACTAGGAAATCTATATAAAGAACATTTATAGAAATGAATGACTGTTCTATAGAGCTGAAAGGAAAACTCTAGCTTTTATTTTTCTCCCCAAACTTAAGCTTTATTTTACATTTGTATAAACAATAAAATTACCACTCAACTTTGGAAGCACAGATCATAATATGAAAATAAAGCAAAGATCCCAGAAACATTTAACAGGCAACAAATCTTTGACATCATCTTACTATAGCAACTAAACGTATAATAATTTAGAACGATCCATTAATTATAAGAATAAATTCTTTTACAAAGCATAACTATTAATATTATTTGACCATCATAAGAACAAACATTTTAACTAAAACACCATGAATACTTTACAGAAAGGGGCGAGTTGCAGACACAGTCCTTCTTGGATTTCTTTTAACACCAGGCTTTCTTCCCTTTTGACCTGAGCTGGGAGTTGAATATTTCCTCTCTTTGCCCTCTGACCCTCTAGTCTCTGAAGCATCTTTTGTACTAGAGGTGTGTGCAGAGACTTCCTGGAAATTTGGATCTGTAAATTGTGCTGTTGTATCTTCTAAGCACTGCAGTGATCTGGATATAGAGCTGTTGCTCTTGCTTGTATAAGTGTAATATTCTGATTCAAAAAAGGAAGTGAAAGGAAGGGAGTTGATTACATTTGGCTACAGAAAAAAAAAGATGACACTAATAATAAAAATAAATAATAATTGTACTTGTAATATAAACATCTGAAAGTTTTAGTTCTAAGAATGGCAGTCCACATAAGAAAATTAGGTAAAAATAATTAATATCTATTATAATTATTTTTCTTTAACCAAAGAAAAAGTATAATTTAAAGATGGCTGTTTAAGCATCAAATTGCAGCCATTGGTAAAAGTAGATATTAGTCATATTTATTAAGTGACACACAGTGATACTGAAGGCACTTGTTTCTCAGCAACATCATTTTTTCCCCAATAAGAACGTACTGCATCCTAGACGTGAAATGAAAATAAGCTTTAATTTTCACCACAGGAGGGCGACAACCAGAGAACTGAGGGGGTACAGATCCATTAGAGGACCATATCCATGAGCTTAAAATGCTCTACTGTAAGAGCAAGAATTTTTAAAGAATCTCGGTGAAGGCTCCTTTTCAAAAAAGCACAAAGATTAAAGCCTTTGAAATGTAAATTATTTTTTGCAGTTATTACATTGAGGACAAAGTTATAGTCGCAAAGTTAAGATTTTTATAACTATCCCTAAAATTGATCCTCAGTGACTCCTTGATCTACATATGTTAAGGAAAAAGGCAAGACACAGATATGTTTAAATAGTTTCCAATTTTCAGTAATCAGCTTCAATATAAGGTATACCCAAATAATGGTGAATTAAATGACCATGAAAGCACGTTATAGCAGATGCCCGCTCATCAATATGCCTTGAAATTAAAGGTTTATAAGGTGCATAAGGGCAAAGGTTTTGATGTTGCCATTACATTCGCAAAAGTATGTGAGGCACGTACAGCATGAAGTTCACTAAGTGCTTGCAACATAACCAGCACTAAATTTTGTTGAATAAATAAATGAATACTTTTGTATAGCATCTGTTCAAAATCTGATGTAAAAATGAAAATAATCTGAAAATATGCAAAACTGAAATTTCCCACAGACGGCTGCCAATTCATACAAACCATAAGATGAATTTCAAAATGAGAACGTGACAATAAAATCAAGTTTCAAAATGGCTGGCCTTTTTTTTTTTTAGCAAAACCCATGTTCAAAAAAAGGAATAAGACATCAAATGTTTTGAGAACCAAAATTTTACTGCTGCTTTTCTAACACCCTGTTGCTAACCTGAGCCCCCATCCTCTTACTGTCAATAACAGATTTTCATCATCAAACACAAGAAACACGCTGGGCACAGTGGCTCACACCTGTAATCCCAGCACTTTGGGAGACTGAGGCGGGTGGATCACTTGAGGTCAGGAGTTTGAGACCAGCCTGGCCGACAGGGTGAAACCTCATCTCTACTGAAAATACAAAAATTAGCTGGGTGTGGTGGTGGGCGCCTGTAATCCCAGCTACTCGGGAGGCTGAGGCAGGAGAATCGCTTGAACCTGGGAGGTGGAGGTTGCAGTGAACTGAGATCGAGCCACTGTACTCCAGCCTGGGTGACAGAGCAAGACTCTGCCTTAAAAAAAAAAGATAAAAATACAATAAACATCTCATAAAAACAAAATAATCACTATTCTAACAAACCACAGTCCACAAATAAGAAGTTTCAAAAAGTAAGTTTAAAAGAAAAAAATTTTTACCAACCACTCACTTTTAAGCTGATAAAACTGCATGGCTTCCTTAAGAAACAAGAATCCCTTCGATGCTGAGCAGGTCAGTTTGGAAACCACCCCACCTCATTTTTCAGTACTTTTTTCCAAATACTTGAGTTGATCCTGAGGTTCTCTATTTCTCTCACATTTGATCCTTGCATGACTTACTGAAGTTGAAAAGTTATTTAAGAAGACACAGTGGTGTTCTTCACTCATGTAATTTGTTCATGTATCAAATAAAGGATGGAGAGAAAACTGGATGAAATACCAGAAGTTAAGAGATACATCAAAAACAGTACCATGAGGGAAAAATTTATAGCTATAAATGATTATAAAACATAAGATACTGAATCAACAACTTTACTCCTAAGGAACTAAAAACAGAGGGAAAAAGAGGGACAACTAAAAGCTAGCAAAATTTTAAAAATGATAAAGATAGCAGTGGAAATAAGTGAAATAGAGAACAGAAAAGCAATATCAAAAATCAACAAAACCAAGTTTATTCTCTGGAAAAGATCAAAACTGACAAAAATTTTATCTAGATTGACTAAGAAAAAAAGGGAATACTCAAATTACGAAACTCAGAAGAAAAATGGGTACATTACTAACAAATTTTTGGAGTAAAAAAAGGATGTAGGAGAGTACCATAAGGAACTATACACTAAAAAATTGAATAACCTAAATAAAATGAACAAATTCCTAGAAACAAAAAACCTACTAAGACTGAATCAGAAAAGTTGAATAAACCTATTCAGCAAGGAGATTCAGCAGGAAGATGGCATAAGTAATCAAAAACCCAGCAACAAAGAAAAGCCTGGACCAGATGGCTTCACTGTTGAATTCTACCCAACGTTTAAAGCAGAATTAACACCAGTTTTTCTCAAACTTTTTCAAAACGTTGAAGAGGAGGTAATGTTTTCTAACTTATTCTATGAGGCCAGTATTACCTTGACACCAAGCCAGACAAAGGCACCATAAGAAAACTACAAACAAACATCCCTTACAAATGCTGATGCAAAAATCCTCAACAAAATACCAGCAACTCAAACTTAGCAGTACACTAAAAGGATTATACACTATGAATGAGTATAATTGACTCCTGAAATAAAAGTATATTCCAACACATGAAAATCAGCGTAATATCACATTAACATAAAGAAGGAAAAAAGCCTCATGTGATCACATTTTAATCAAAGAAGAAAAAGCATTTGTCAAAATTTAACCCACATTCATGATAAAATGTACTTAATAAACTATAAAAAGAAAGAAAACACTTTAACATAATGTCATACAAAAAACAAAAACACAGCTAATGTGGTGAAAGACTGAAAGCTTTTACCCTAAGAGCAAAAACAAGGATGCCTGCTTTTACTACTTCTGTTTAATATAGTACTGAGGATTCTAGTTAGTTAAAACATGAGTAAAAGAATAAAAGATATTCCAATTTTTTTAAAAGTAAAATTATCTGTTTGCAGATGACATAACCTTATATATTAAAAATCTTTTGGTTTCTGTGAAATAAACTGTCAGATACAATAAACAAAATTCAGCAAAGCTGCAGGATACAAAATCAATACACAAAAATCAGTTGTATTTCTACAATAACAATAAACTATCTGAAGAAGAAATCAAGACAACAGTATCATGTATGATAGCATCAAAAGAATAAAATACTTAGAAACCCACTTAACCAAGAAAATGAAAAACCTGTACAGCAAAAACTATAAACATGGCATGAACGTATTAAAGATGACAAATAAATGAAAAGACATCATGTGTTTATGGACTGGAAGACAAAACCTTGTCAAGATGCCATTGTTATCTATAGTCATCTACAGATTCAATAAAATCACTATAAAAATTCCAATATTTGCAAAAATAGAAAAACCTATTCTAAAATTCAGATGAAATCTCAAAAAATCCCAAGTAGCCAAATCAATCTTAAAAACTAACAAAGTTAGAGGACTAACACCTCCTGGTTTCAAACTTACTGCAATGCTTCAGTACCCAAAACTTGTACCAGCATAGAGACAGAGACAAAGACCAATGCGATAGAAATAAAGAACCAAAAAATATGGTCATGATTTTTAACACAGGAGTCAACACTATTCAATGGGAAACGATGGTATTTTTTGAATGGTGTTTAAAATGGATATTTACATATACCCATATGTATGTATATATCCCAAATTAGCTTTTTGTCTGTCATGTATGTGGCAGATCTATTTCCCCAGTCTGTTGACTTTTGACTTAGAGGCATTTTTCTCTCACACAAAGTTTCAATTTTTATGGAGTCAAATACATCAGTCTTCTATTCAGTGACTTCTTCATGGGAATGGTGTTTGATTTTAGGATGATAAAGAAGTTGTAGATATGGATAAATTAGATAAACTAGATGGTTGGACAACACTGAATATACTGGATGCCACAGAACTGTACATTTAAACATGGTTAAAATGGTAAGTTTTATGTTGTGTATATTTTACCACCAAAAAAGGGCCAGGCTTAGATGTTTACATGTTAGGGGTTTGGAGTACCTCTAACATTTATTCCCCTCCAGGGGAATAATTTATAAACACCCACACAAGAAAAGTAGATACTGACTTCACAAATCTCCTTACAAGTCCCACAGCAAGGGCTGTCTGGGAAAGCAGAGATGGAAAAAGTCACATAAACTTGAGGTCAGTGTGAGACCTCCCATCCCCTACTCTGGAATCAGATGGAGGAAGGCAGGTATGCAGGCTGAGCTGGAGAGATGAGCTGGGGTGGGCAGAACTGTCCTCCCATGAGCCCAGACCTTAACTGCTCCCACATGCTCCCAGGCATGTATCAAACCAAGAAAGCGGCTAGGAGGGTAACACAGCTACCTGTATACAGGGAGCCATGAAATATCTGAGCTGCGCAAGTGATGCACAAGGAGATGGAAGCAGTCTGACCTTTACACAGTGACCTGGCTCAAATAATTTCAGGCTCTCAATCAGGCGAGCTCCACTTTCTCTCTGAGGTAGGTAAACTTGAGGGGTTTAAGTGGGAGTTGAGGATAATGGAAAAGAAAGCCTGGTAGTATTTCTTCTAATTCTGTTATAAATAAAAAGTAAAACAAATGCCTTTTCTCAGGGCCCAAATGTTAGGTGAAAAAATGTCATCTCAGTCATGTGATGTGGACTTCAGCAGAGCAGTACCCTCATGGTCATTTATCCTTTCCCTCTGCATGTTGTGTGCTTTTTCAGTTTACAATGTACCTGATCCACTTGTCTCATCACACTAGCTGCAAACAAGGCCACTGCATGTCACACCAGGTGGCCAGCATGTCTGTGAAGGGCAGAAACGGGGGCAGCCAAACAGCTGGCAGAGGCCAGCTAGTAAGTACCTGATGCCCACTCCATAGAGGACTCCACACTTAAAAGACAAGATAAGCAAGTGTCAGGCTGCCTCACTAGTTATCCCCCCAAATAAAAAAATAAAAGTAACCCCTCCAGGGAACATGTTTGTGTGTACACAAAGTACATGCACACAGCTACATGCAAACGGGAAAGGCTGGGAAGGAACCAAATCCACCTCTGAACACCAGTTACTTGTGGGGAAGGGGCACGTGAAGCCAACTGTCAGCATTACTCACCTTTTCAACTGATGAGCTTGCATCAATTTTGGCAATTTCTCATAAAAAGACAATTTTCACTCCTTGGGTGATCACCCAGGTCCTGCAAAACTGAGCCACCAACAACCACCTGCACCACTTCCCATGAGGCCAAATAATGGCTTCCCTCAAAGCTCAGCCCTCCCACCCACCTCCCAGTCCTGTACCGTGCAGGGGGGCTGCCGGCCTCCTGGGGTGCAGGGGGGCTGCCGGCCTCCTGGGGTGCAGGGGTCCAGGCCAAACCCAACCTACAGATGGTTGGTGAAACCAGCACGTATCCAAGGGCCTTTTCCCCACCTGTGCCATGTGCCGACTGCATAGATAGGCCTGTGCTTGCTCCCCCTAGGACAGAGATTCCCTTTTCTTCCATTGGAATGAGGGGTGGGGAGATTTGATGGTATTCTGTACAGGTTGGATGTTAATCTGATGTGGTGCTCTTGGAAAAGCTTGCCTGAGTTCGGCGCTTTCTCAGCACATGGTGTGTGCTGCCCCTTCAAGCTGCAGAAACCCCAGAAGGTAAGTGCTAACTGCAACCCCCATTTACTGGTGAGCAGAGGTCAGGTGATCTGCAGCCAGCCAAGCAGCTGCTAAGTGGCCAACAGGCTGGATCTGCATCTCACTTGCAGAGGCCCTGCCTGGCTGCTGGGACTGCCCTGAGACTCCCTCCTCCTCCTCCTCTTCCCTCCACAGCTCTCCCAGCTTCTATCCACAGCTGTGCTCCAGGTGGGGAACACCTATGGCTGCACCAGGGTGCAACTACTCAGACTCCAGCGTGCAGAAAGGCCCCGGCTCCATGCTGTTTCCATATCCCAGCCCAAGCTCGTCTAGAGCTTCAGCAAATCCAAGCTTCCCTGAATTCCCTGCAAGACTAAACCAAGCCCTACAACCCCCACTACACTGGTTAGCTGCCAGTCCGAGCCCCTGCTGCCTCCTGGGCCCCTGTCTGTACAGTTCTGGAGTCCTACAAGAATGCTGAGATCGTAAGCCGACTCTCACCCAAAGAGGTAAACAACCAGGGACCTCCAGGGGTGGAGAACATACCCAGACAGGTTCTGCTGCCTGTAGGCTTCATGTCCTTCCCCTACAACACGCCATGCTTGCCAGGCTGGAAGAGGGGCTCCAGAAACTTGGGAAACCTGGGCCTGTAGCTGGCATGTGGAAAAGAGGCCTGGAAAAGCACCACTCCTGTCCATGAAGCCCCCACATGGAACCAGGTAATTGGGAAATACATGGGCACCAAGCCTGACGCCCTCCTCAGACCCAGGTGGGAACTGCAGCAGTGACTTGCCCCCTCTGCCTCTGGCTGTACCACTATGAGAGGGAGGAACATCCAGGTCCACACGTGAGTGGAGACACCAGGTGTGGGCAGGTTCCAGTGATTGCTGCAGCTGAACCTTCCCAAGCAGGTCCATGCAAGACCATCTCAGATGGGTGTGCACCTGGATTGGGCAAGGACACCCCTCAGAGAGTGAGGGCCACTGAGGGGGGCTGTCACAGAGTCCCCTTTTCCTGCTCCTAGAACAGGCTGGGGGAGTGTGGGGGAGTGTGGGGGAGTGTGGGGGAGTGTGGGGGAGGTTGGGGGAGGTTGGGGAAGTGTGGGGGAGTGTGGGGGAGGTTGGGGGAGGTTGGGGGAGGTTGGGGAAGTGTGGGGGAGTGTGGGGGAGGTTGGGGGAGTGTGGGGGAGTGTGGGGGAGTGTGGGGAAGTGTGGGGGAGGAGTGTGGGGGAGTGTGGGGGAGTGTGGGGGAGTGTGGGGGAGTGTGGGGGAGGTTGGGGGAGGTTGGGGGAGGTTGGGGAAGTGTGGGGGAGGTTGGGGGAGTGTGGGGGAGGTTGGGGGAGTGTGGGGAACCTCTCCCACCTCCCAGCTGCTTCCAGGAGCCACTTCTTTCGAGATGAGACACTCTGCTGCCTGTCTGTTCCCATTTGGCTGCAATAGACCATTGACAACATTCAGAGAACAAGAAGGGGCCTCACCTGTTTTCCCTGACACGTCGGAGGCAGATGGACATTCCCAGGGGACCTGGGGTAGAACCTGTTCATCTGCCCACCCCCAGGCTGTGCTGGCTTCATCTTATCTGTGTGATGGTGGCGGTGGGAATTACCAAGGGGTCATCACACAGACCATGGACAAGTTCTACAAGAGCCAGGGAGAAGAGCCCTGTCCGTGCTTGCTGCCCAGCACCCAGCTCACACACACACCTCTTATTTGACAGCTTCCCCAAAGCGGGCTTTGCAGTCCAGGCTCCCCGAGAAGCTTGGGGAGGAGACTCTGCCAGTCTGAAGGGCCTATCCCTAAAAAGGTGCCACCCTCACCAGGCTCATCCTGGCAATCTTGGATTATCTTTGCTCTGAGGTTTTGGAGTGGGGGACAGGGAGACAGCAGACACTGCACATCACCCATCTTTCCAGAGAGCATCAGCCCTCCAGACTGGGGCAGGTCAGACCTCCACTTGGGCGTTTTTCTCACTGGTTGCCAGTTGGGGGAAGCAGCATTTGTGAGCACCTGCCTGTCTTCCCAGGTCCTGTTCAGAAACCCCATCTGTGCCTTTGGAGAGACTGCCCTGAGCACACAGGCCCAGCAACCACCATATACGACCCCCAGGACCTAATCCCCCTCTACATAGGGTTCAGTGCATGTTAGCAGACACTGGGCTCGATTCCTGCCTAGTCCCTGCCAGATACCCCATGCCCACCTCGTGAAGAGAATGAGGCCACACAAACACACCCAGACCGTCTTGGTGATGGAGTGCCTGGGGTCCCACTTGCCCACCCTTCATTGCTGGTTCAGAGCCAGCTGTCTGACCACATTCCTACCCCGAGATGGGACTTTGGGGACATTGTCCACCAGGGTCGCTGAGCCCTTTTAAAGTTCCAGACACATGGCCAACTGGTCCCCTAAAAGTTTGGTACATGGGATAAGCCAAGGCTTTTCTTCAGGAACAGGCTTTCCACCACGTCGCTGCCCAAGGCCCAGGGCATCCCCAAGTTCATGTGGCGCCTGCCTGCCATGTCCACAGCCCATGCCGAGCCCTCCTAGAGCCACTGGAATGCTTGTTCCTGGGCATGTGATGAACCCAGACAGCTTCCGCCTTGCAGGACAACTGTGCACATCTGGCAGCAGTAGCCAGAGGGCCCATAGAAGTTGGAGGTGAAACCAGATGCTGTGAGAATACTTTATTAGGCAAAACCGCATACTATAAAAATGCTTTAAAATGCAGCAGGAGATGTGAAGACACAAATGAACGAGCGCATAGTGACACATGGCTGTCAGAACACAGTGAAGGATCCACACTGCTTCCCCCCTTTACCTAGAAAAGGAGAGTTCTAGGCCACCTCCTCCTCCTCATACTCCTCCTCCCTCGGCCGTGGCATCCTGATATTGCTGATATTCAGACACCAAGTCGTTCATGTTGCTCTCGGCCTCAGTGAATTCCATCTCATCCATGCCCTCGCCCGTGTACCAGTGGAGGAAGGCCTTGCGCCTGAACGTTGCTGTAAACTGCTCTGAGACCCGCTTGAGTTCCTGGACGGCTGTGTTGTTCCCAGTGAAGGTGACTGACATTTTTAGCCCCCAGGGTGGGATGTCACAGACGGCTGTTTTTACGTTGTTGGGGAACCAGTCAGCAAAGTAGCTGCTGTTCTTATCTTGAATGTTGAACATCTGTTCATCCACCTCCCTCATGGGCATGCGACCCTGGAAAATGGCAGCCGCCGTTAGGTAGCGGCCGTGACGGGGGTCACGGGCAGCCATCATGTTCTTAGCATCAAACATCTGCTGGGTGAGCTCAGCCACAGTCAAGGCCCGGTACTGCTGGCTGCCCCGGCTGGTCAGTGGGGCAAAGCCGGGCATGAAGAAATGCAGCCGGGGAAACGGGACCATGTTCATGGCCAGCTTCCGCAGGTCAGCATTCAGCTGGTCGGGGAAGCACAGGCACGTGGTGACCCCACTCATGGTAGCAGACACCAGGTGGTTCAGGTCACCATAGGTGGGTGTGGGCAGTTTTAGGGTCCTGGAACATATGTCATATAGCGCTTCGTTATCTATGCAGAAGGTCTCATCTGCGTTTTCTATGAGCTGGTGGACTGAGAGGGTGGCGTTGTAGGGCTCCACCACGGTGTCTGACACCTTGGGCAAGAGCAGGATGCTCAATGTGTTTATAATCCTGTCTGGGTACTCCTCCCAGATCTTACTAATGAGAAGGGTACCCATCCCAGACCCAGTCCCCCCACCCAGGGAGTGGGTCAGCTGGAAACCCTGCAGGCAGTCACAGCTCTCAGCCTCCTTTCTGACAACGTCCATCACTGACTCCGTCAGCTCCGCGCCTTCGGTGTAGCGTCCCTTGGCCCAGTTGTTTCCGGCCCCACACTGACCTGTAAGACAGCACAGCCGGTCACTCGACGGCCAGGTATACGGTCATCAGTGGTCACCACCATAATGCAGAAAGGGCCAAGTGTCACGTGTGAGGTGAGAGCACCATTCGCCCTGCAGGTGGAGCAGATGAAACCCCCTCCCCCGGAGTTACAGGACAGCAGCTTCCCCTCTCTTAGGAATTAAGTCAGGAGTCAAACCTGAGAGGGGCTAACCTCACTGCAGGTGGAACAAATGAAAACCCCTCCCCCGGAGTTACAGGACAGCAGCTTCCCCCGTTAGGAATTAAGACAGGAGTCAAACCTGAGACGGGCTCACAGAACTCGCTGCAGGTGGAACAAATGAAACCCCCTCCCCAGGAGTTACAGGACAGCAGCTTCCCCTGTTAGGAATTAAGTCAGGAGTCGAACCTGAGACGGGTTCACAGACCTCGCTGCAGGTGGCCCATTCTCAGGGAAGGCAGTAGCCACGGCCCCAGCTCAGGTCCTTGCAGGGAGTTTACATCAGTAGCTCCTCACCTTGAGGAGACACGCGGGCCTTCCTCCCGAAGCCCGTTTAGGAGGCAGATGGAGCGACTCGACTCGGAGGACAGGAGGGTGTTCAGGGGCCCTGGCGCCACAGTTCCCACAGGATGACCTTGGAGCGTTCCTGGATTTCGAGCTGCCCTGGCTAAGGAGCCGCACCCCAGTCCTCGCCCGCAGCTCACGGGAAATGAAGTTGTCTGGCCTGAAGACCTGCCCGAAGGGCCCCGAGCGCACAGAGTCCATGGTGCCCGGCTCCAGATCCACGAGCACAGCGCGGGACACGTACCTGCCACCTGCGTGGGGCGGGAGGGCATGAGCGAGGGGAGGGCCGCGTTCCCAGGAGGGCGGTGGGGGAAGGACGGGGGTCGCACCGCTGGCCTCGTGGTGGTGCACGTTGATGCGCTCCAGCTGCAGGTGGCTGTCCCCGTGGTAGGTGCCAGCGGAGTCGATGGCATGTTCATCAGAGATCACCTCCCAGAACTGCGGAGACGGGAGGGGCCAGACAGGCCGGGGCTGAGTCACGGAGGCGCCCCAGCCGCTCTCCCACCCCCATCCGCACCCCCATCCCCAGGCCGCCCTGTCCCTGGGGTCCACCCCCGCCGCCTCGCCAGCCACCCGGTTCCACCGTCCCCGGCAGGGAGCCCAGGGGCCGCAATGCAGGGGCACCGCCCCCGCCGCTGCCAACATCTTCCCCGGCCACCCGGCAGGCCCGGGCTGGGCCCTCAGAGCCCCGGCTGCCAACCTTGGCGCCGATCTGGTTCCCGCACTGCCCGGTCTGCGTGAGCACAAGCTCCCTCGTGGCCAAGGCAGGATTAGGGCGGCAGGAGAAGCGCGAGAAGGAGGAGCAGACGCACAGCGACCCAGCCCGGCCTCCGCCAACGCTTAAACAGCCCCGCGCCCACCTCCCTCAGCCTAGGATTGGGCTCCCAGAATAAGCAACAGCTTTACTTCCACACAGGTGCACCCACCTGTGACTCCCCTGGCGTTGAACGTCTGTTGGAGAACTCAGGTGTCCTTGCGTGGTCCCTTCCACGTTGGGGAAAGCTGCTCAGCTGGAGAACTTCCTCCCACGTCTTTAGTAAGACTAAATCCCTAGCTGAGCTGAAACTGAATTTTCCTCCCATGTGGGAGGGGAAGACGCTTGTTTCCATATGCACGGAGTGCCTTTGCACCTGTCCTAGATTGATGACATATTTTTGTAATTGATGAATCTTTTCATCTATTAGGAGATCTGTCGTTAGGAAAGGCCTTCCACATGTTAACAGGACTTAATTATACGTTTTACTTTGGAGCAGTTCAAATCTGCAGTAAGCTATGGGTGTTAGAGATAGTCAGGCCTCTGATTTAGCTAGAGTCTTCTTTAGGATTAGCCCTTTCACCTTTCCAGAGGACTGCGGTCTCCACACAGAGTGAAGGTAATATTGGATTCTTAAAGCTGAGGATAGGTGTTGGGTTACGCCTGCTGTGAAAGATGGGCCATTGTCACTTTGCAGGCTTTTAGATTACCCAAACTGAGGAGTTATTTCTTCTGGTAAACATTTTTCAGATGGGGTGGGGAATGCCTCGATCTAACCAGTGAAGGTATCAGTAAGCATTAGCAAATATTTGAATCTCTTGCAGAAAGTCATTGGGGTACATTAGAGTTGCCAGTTCTCACCTGGATAGGTTCCTTAATTTTGGACAGGTTTAACTGGAGGAGAAAATTGCTGGCCGTTTGGGTCATGTCAGGCACAGAGCTCACAGTGCTGAGTCACCTGTTTTAGTGTCTTGAAAAGATTTACCCCTATAAACAAGTGAGACATTAACAGAAACAAAGAATCCCTTCTAGGGTGAAAAGAATCATGAAAGTGCTGAGTTATACTCTTGTGATTGGTACTTGGCATTAGTAATTTATTACCATCATTCAGCCAGCCCGAGGGGCCCTGGACTGAAATGCAATCCCTGGCCCATTTCTGTTCTTCTTCAGAGTGTTCCGGCCCAGTTCTATGTATGCTGACCAGCACGCCCATAAGCTTCATTGGCCCTTTCAGTGCAGGGGCCTTGGCTGCAGCTACAAGGTCATTTCCTTTTACATGGTCAGTCTCTCTTTTGATGTCCTCTGCAATTAATTATAGTCACTTTCTGGCAGCAAAGCAGTATTCTAACAAGCTCAAAATCTGAATGATGTTGTATGGAAAAGCCCTTGGGGTCAGGAGTCCCCACCCATTCCAAATTGCAGCATAAGCATGAAGCACTAAAAAATCATACTTGGAATCAGTGTAAATGTTAACTTTTAAATCCTTTCCAACTGCAGGGGCCTAGTAAGTTCAATTAACTCAGCTTTTTGAGCTGAGGTCGAGGCCAGCAAGGCTTGTGCCTTGATTCTCTTGTGCTGACTACTAATAGCATATCTAGACCTCCTGTTTTCCTGATGCATAAAACAACTTGCATCTGTTAACCACTCTGCCTTGGGATGGTCAAGGAGCTCATCTCTCCTACGTCTGGCCTGCTAGATCAATTTGTTTCATAACCTGTGACATGCTTTGGCTGTGCCCCCAGTCAAGTCTTATCTTGAATTGTAGCTCCCATAATTCCCATATATCGTGGGAGGGACCCAGTGGGAGGTAATTGAATCAGGGGATGGGTCTTTCCCATGCTGTTCTCGTGACAGTGAATAAGCCTCATGAGATCTGATAGTTTATTTATTTATTTATTTTTGATACATAGTCTTGCTCTGTTGCTCAGGCTGGAGTGCATTATCGTGATCTTGGCTCACTGCAAACTCTGACTCCTGGGTTCAAGCGATTCTCCTGTCTCAGCTTCCCGAGTAGCTGGGATTACAGGTGCCCACAACCATGCCTGTTTAATTTTTGCACTTTTAGTATAGACAGGGTTTCACCATGTTGGCCAGGCTGGCCTCCATCTCCTCACCTCAGGTCATCCACTGCCTTGGCCTCCCAAAGTGCTGGATTACAGCTGATGGTTTTATAAAGGGGAGTTTCCCTACACAAGCTCTTTTGCCTGCTGCCACGTAAGAGATGTGACTTTGTTCCTCACCTGCCTTCTGCCATGAGTGTGAGGCCTCTCCGACCATGTGGAACTGTGAGTCAATTAAACCTCTTTTCTTTATAAATTTCCCAGCCTCAGATATGTCTTTATTAGCAGCGTGAGAACAGACTAATACAGCCTGTATGCCAGAAAGGCTGGGAGCACCTGTGGACTCTGACAGCTAAGTAGCTGGGTTTGTGGTTTGGCAGGCTTTAAGGGTTGTGTCTGGAGGGTCTAGCAATAAGGCCTGACACTTTCATAAATGTTCTCCTATTATCCACTGCTGCCCTTTAGCTTCCAGGACCACCTTCCCTTGGTGTGGGGTCAAAAACCTGTAGGTGCTGTTCTAATGTTAGTTTATTAGCTTTGCCTGCTAGAAAAGTGGTAGCAGCAATAGCTCTAAGACATCAAGGCCACCCTGAGGCCGCCTGGTCTATCTGCTTAGAAAATTAGGCTACTGGCCTTGGAATGTCCCCCAGTTTTGAGACAAGATTACCCAAGGCCTATGCCTTGCTTTTTGGTCACATAAAGAAAAAATGGTTCATCCAACTTGGGGACTCCCATGGCTGCAGCAGAGCTCAATTTCTCCTTGAGAGTATTGAAGGTTTGCTTGCAGTTCTCATTACGTTCTAGGAGCTCTAAATCTTTCCCTTTAGTGTATCATATAAAGGCTTGGCTACATGTCCAAATCTGGGCAACCATAAGCAGCAGTACCCAGCCATCTCCTAAAAGAGCCCACAGTCATTTGTTGGACTGGGACCCTTCGGTGACTAAAATAACTTTTTTATCTTCTAGGGTTGTTGATCAGTTCCAGTGGTTAAGACAGATTCCAAATATTTAAGTCTTTGAGTCAAAATCTGAGCCCTGTATGGGGATACCGTATATCTGCAACTTCCCAGGAAACTTACCAACTTAACAGTATTATTATTTGAGTCTTCTTTAGTTGGGCTAGCAATGAGCAAGTCACCTACATACTGAATAATTGTGTCCCTTTCCAGTTGTAGATTTCTTAAGTCCTTAGCTAGAGCATTTTCAAATAAGTGGGGGCTATCCCAGAACCCTTCAGAGACGACTGTCCAGGTTAGTTTTGAGGCTGAATGTGTATCTGGATTAGTCCATTCAAAGGCAAACATATTGTGAATCTGGATGCATTGAGATGCAGAAAAATGCGTCTTTCAGATTTAAGAATGTAAACCAGCTTGCATCCCCTGGGACTTGGTAAGTATTGGGGACAATGAGGTGTATGGAGACAACTGCATTTCTTAGCGCTCTAAGGGTTCTGACAAATCTGTACTTGCCATTAGGCTTTTTATCTGGTAACATGCGAGTATTGTAAGGAGACTCTCATGGGCTTCATAACTCATATGGCAAGAATTTGGCAATAAGGGGTTGAATTTCCCCTCATGCTTCTTGCCTTAAAATGTATTGTCTCTTCTGAGGGCGAGGAGCACTAGGCTGAAGTTGGATTTGAATCGGGGAGGTGTTTAGTGCATTTCCCAGAGCCTGTGTGGCCCAAACTTCAAGATTTACTTGAGACAATACCTCAGGTGGTAAATGTGACAGCTCATTCTTAACTTCTTTTTTTTCCCCTGAGGGGTCAGGAACAAAAGTAACACTTTCTATGATTTATGATCTGTGAAGGTGACCATGACTTGGTCTCCTGAGTCAATAAACTTCTCCCCAGTAAGAGATCAGGCATTCAGACCGTACTAAAAAGGTAGGTGAGAAGCCCAGAGGCCCTGGAGGACAACTTAGAAGATACAAAAAGCAGTTATTTTGGGCTTGTCCATCATGAAGAGACAGGAGCCCACTGTATTGAATCAGGACAGAGTCATCTGCTCCCACACCTAATAAGAAGTTAATACTCCTACCTGCCACTACAAGAGTCACCTGAGGCTTCTCCATCTCTGGATACCTAATAGTCCAATGGGAGTGGAGGCAGGAAGTAACAGGCCCTCCCACTTTCAAGTCTGCTGGGCTCTGAGGTTGGCTCCCTTGAAAGCACAGTGCATTTCCTTCAGCAGTGGCTGACCTTCTTACAGAAGGCACATTGATTTATATCCACGACACAGTGGCCCAGAGGCACAGACTGGGACTTTCACCTTCTCACTTCCTCTGTGAGGGCCAGGGTTAACGGGCTGCCTCTGAAGTGGTGGAGAGCACAAGGCTGCAGCTAGAAGCTGGGCCTTTTGGGACATTTGGTTTATTTTATGTTTTCTCTGCCCTATTCCTGTGATGGAAAACTGCAAAATCCAAATCTAAAATCTGATCCATGGGAGTCTGGAAGCCTAAGGCTGCTTTTGGCGGCTTCCTGCAGATATCAGAAGCAGGCTGGGCTATAAAGTAAACTCCTAGCAATGCCTATCCCTTCTTGGAGTAAGGGTCAGTGTTAGTGTATTTTCTCAAGGTCTAAATTATCCACCCTTGTAATAAGGCTAGGTTTTCATCTTTTCCGAGTAATTTTCCAGACTTTATAAAAATTAAAAAGCTTTATCACAATTTTTTTTATTCCTTCAAGGAGTCAAATGATCATAATTTTTTCTCTCTATATCCCACTTTCTTCCTAATTCATTCATCTTTTCTAGATTCTAGTTCTCTTTTGAGTCCTAATCAGGCACTTCTGTGCCTCCCACTTGATAGGTGTCATGTCCCTGGTTGCAGGCTGCCACCCTATTAGCATGTGCTCTACCACTCCCATAACACACTGCTTTTCTTTTTTCTTTTTTTTTTAATTATACTTTAAGTTTTAGGGTACATGTGCACCACGTGCAGGTTAGTTACATATGTATACATGTGCCATGTTGGTGTGCTGCACCCATTAACTCGTCATTTAACATTAGGTATATCTCCTAATGCTATCCCTCCCCCCTCCCCCCACCCCACAACAGGCCCCGGTGTGTGATGTTCCCCTTCCTGTGTCCGTGTGTTCTCACTGTTCAATTCCCACCTATGAGTGAGAACATGCTGTGTTTGGTTTTTTGTCCTTGTAATTGTTTGCTGAGAATGATGGTTTCCAGCTTCATCCATGTCCCTACAAAGAACATCAACTCATCCTTTTTTATGGCTGCATAGTATTCCATGGTATATATGTACCATATTTTCTTAAACCAGTCTATCATTGATGGACACTTGGGTTGGTTTGAAGTCTTTGCTATTGTGAATAGTGCCACAATAAACATACGTGTGCATGTGTCTTTATAGCAGCATGTTTTATAATCCTTTGGGCATATACCCAGTAATAGGATGCCTGGGTCAAATGGTATTTCTAGTTCTAGATCCCTGAGGAATCACCACACTGTCTTCCACAATGGTTGAACTAAATTACACTCCCACCAACAGTGTAAAAGCGTTCCTATTTCTCCACATCCTCTCCAGCACCTGTTGTTTCCTGACTTTTTAATGATTGCCATTCTAACTGGTGTAAGATGGTATCTCATTGTGGTTTTGATTTGCATTTCTCTGATGGCCAGTGATGGTGAGCATTTTTTCATGTGTCTGTTGGCTGCATAAATGTCTTCTTTTGAGAAGTGTCTGTTCATATCCTTTGCCCACTTTTTGATGGGGTTATTTGTTGTTTTCTGGTAAATTTGTTTGAGTTCATTATAGATTCTGGATATTAGCCCTTTGTCAGATGAGTAGGTTGCAAAAATTTTCTCCCACACTGTAGGTTGCCTGTTCACTCTGACAGTAGTTTCTTTTGCTGTGCAGAAGCTCTTTAGTTTAATTAGATCCCATTTGTCAATTTTGGCTTTGCTTGCCATTGCTTTTGGTGTTTTAGACATGAAGTCCTTGCCCATGCCTATGTCCTGAATGGTATTGCCTAGGTTTTCTTCTAGGGTTTTTATGGTTTTAGGTCTAACATTTAAGTCTTTAATCCATCTTGAATTAATTTTTGTGTAAGGTGTAGGGAAGGGATCCAGTTTCAGCTTTCTACATATGTCTGGCCAGTTTTCCCAGCACCATTTATTAAATAGGGAATCTTTTCCCCATTTCTTGTTTTTTGTCAGGTTTGTCAAAGATCAGATAGTTGTAGATATGTGGCGTTATTTCTGAGGGCTCTGTTCTGTTCCATTGGTCTACATCTCTGTTTTGGTATCAGCACCATGCCGTTTTGGTTACTGTAGCCTTATAGTATAGTTTGAAGTCAGGTAGCATGATGCCTCCAGCTTTGTTCTTTTGGCTTAGGATTGACTTGGCGATGCAGGTTCTTTTTTGGTTCCATATGAACTTTAAAGTAGCTTTTTCCAATTTTGTGAAGAAAGTCATCGGTAGCTTGATAGAGATAGCATTGAATCTATAAATTACCTTGGGCAGTATGGCCATTTTCACAATATTGGTTCTTCCTACCCATGAGCATGGAATGTTCTTCCATTTGTTTGTATCCTCTTTTATTTCATTGAGCAGTGGTTTGTAGTTCTCCTTGAAGAGGTCCTTCACATCCCTTTTAAGTTGGATTCCTAGGTATTTTATCAACCAAAGAAAGTCCAGGACCAGATGGATTCACAGCCTAATTCTACCAGAGGTACAAGGAGGAGCTGGTACCATTCCTTCTGAAACTATTCCAATCAATAGAAAAAGAGGGAACCCTCCCTAACTCATTTTATGAGGCCAGCATCATCGTGATACCAAAGCCTGGCAGAGACACAACAAAAAAAGAGAATTTTAGACCAATATCTCTGATGAACATCAATGCAGAAATCCTCAATAAAGTACTGGCAAACCGAATCCAGCACCACATCAAAAAGCTTATCCACCATGATCAAGTGGGCTTCATCCCTGGGATGCAAGGCTGGCTCAACATATGCAAATCAATAAATGTAATCCAGCATATAAACAGAACCAACGACAAAAACCACATGATTATCTCAATAGATGCAGAAAAGGCCTTTGACAAAATTCAACAAACCTTCATGCTAAAAACTCTCAAAAAATTAGGTATTGATGGGACGTATCTCAAAATAATAAGAGCTATCTATGACAAACCCACAGTCAATATCATACTGAATGGGCAAAAACTGGAAGCATTCCCTTTGAAAACCGGCACAAGACAGGGATGCCCTCTCTCACCACTCCTATTCAACATAGTGTTGGAAGTTCTGACCAAGGCATTCAGGAAGGAGAAGGAAATAAAGGATATTCAATCAGGAAAAGAGGAAGTCTAATTTTCCCTGTTTGCAGATGACATGATTGTATATCTAGAAACCCCATCATCTCAGCCCAAAATCTCCTTAAGCTGATAAGCAACTTCAGCAAAGTCTCAGGATACAAAATCAATGTGCAAATATCACAAGCATTCTTATACACCAATAACAGACAAACAGAGAGCCAAATCATGAGTGAACTCCCATTCACAACTGCTTCAAAGAGAATAACACACTGCCTTTCTGCCATGCAGCAGGAAAACATAAACATATGCAAGTCCTGCCTGGCCAGATCGTAAACAAGGTTAGCCTCTTAAATTTGTCTACAAATTTTCAGGCACCTCTGAAAACTGTTTTAGCTTTTCCTTGTATATGGCTAGTTCAGACATAGAAAAGGGTACATATACCTATATAGTGTCCTTTTTATCATCTGTCACTTCCCAGAGAGGGCAAACATTCAAGTTTGCCAGCTGATAAGAGGCCCCACTGCATGTTGTTCTGGTGAAGCTCACGTGTTCCGACAGTGGGGTGTGTACTTAAGACAGGACTCGAAGGGCAGGGAGAAGACGATGACCAGACACTAGATAACCCTGGAAAACTAGAAGAAATTAATAACATGTTGCACACCTCACCAGAACTGGAAGGAGTCTGACTGTGTTCTCATGGGGTTGTCGGACTGGCAGGGGGAGTTCAGCCCCAGCTAAGAAAAGCCTAATATTAAGAGGCACTTGCATTAAAAGGGTAATCAATTACGTGCCATCCCTATTTTGTCTTTTCCTCCATCAAACATATAGAAGCCCATTTTAATTTTTTATCCTGACCAAGCATCAGAGAAGCCTATATGTAAAGTATTTCCTCCCATTTAGTTTCTCTTCTATAAAACAAATTAAGCTGCAAAAAAAGGAGTCAGACTGAACAGGGGAAATGGGAAGGCTGTAACTTGTATATTGTAATGTACTAGTCCATTTTCACACTGCTATGACAAAACTGATAAAACTCTGTCAGGAAAAAAGTGGGATACTGGGTTTAGAAAGTAGGGTCCAGCTGCCCTATACCAGCTCATCAAAGATGGCGT
Source organism: Homo sapiens (assembly GCF_000001405.40). Taxonomy (NCBI): domain Eukaryota; kingdom Metazoa; phylum Chordata; class Mammalia; order Primates; family Hominidae; genus Homo; species Homo sapiens. Next base: position 86,246 of record NW_015495301.1, read on the forward strand.
TATGGTTAAGAAATGAGAGAAAACTGTTAAGAAAAAGTCCCATGTTCTCCATCTTGAGGCTAATTGTTTGCAGAGGGTTGTCATAAAAGAGGCTGTCACTAAACAGGTATATCTGATCTTATCATGTAGGGCTGTTAAATACCACATTTCAACTTCTAGTCATAATGATGGAGAGGTTATTGCTGATTTTTTTTCTGATAATTAAGGTACAAAAATACTAGGTTCCAAGACATCTCTCTTTTTTCAGTGTCACTTGGACCAGTGGCAAATTAAACAAGCAATCAGCTAAAAGTCAGAGGATCGCTGAGGAAAGCAAAAGCTAAACTGTTTGGGGCCTCTTTCCTGGGGCAGCCTCCAGGCTACTACAAAACAGAGGAGGTGAGCAGAAAGGTGACAAGATACAGAGCACTCAGGTGAGGGACAGAGAGCACAAGGTGGACAGTCCAAAAAGAGAAAGTGGCAAACATCTTGTTTAGCCAAATCCATTCTTCTCAATATTCCCAAGGGCCTCTAACCCTGTGAGCTTGGCCTCTAATCTGAGTATGATGCCCCCGGGCCTCTAATTTTTGGGGCTGAGTGTCTCACCCTAACATTATGCCCTAGGGCCTCTTGCTTAAGTAGTAGTGGATCATCATTCTTGCCCACCAGAATGGCTTCACGACTCTAAAAGACGGCCCACTTGCCAGGTGTCAGCTGACTGATTCTGTGTGGATTGTTTTCCTTGGAGTGGGGGTCTTGTCTTGGTGTCCCTTCATGGTGTTGCTGAAAGATGTTGCTGGAAAAGAGGGTCCTGATACAGACCACAAAGTAGGATTCTTAGATCTTGTGCAGGAAAAAAATTGAGGTGAGTCAGAGAGCACAGTGAAAGAAGCAAGTTTACTAGAAATGACTCCATTAGAGTTGGACACCCTCAGCAAACAAGAGCAGGAATGCATTGTCTTTTGTTAGTGTCTCTTCTTATAAGTAACTATAAAGACAAAGAGTTATAATTAAACTTGGAAGGTGCAAATGTACTCACTAAAGTCGGGGCTATTGGTTTTAACAATGACCATTAACCCATTGACCTAAGCAAGCTCATTAATATTATCCTTACAAAAAAAATGCTGCACTCCTAGGACATGTATACGTTTTTCAGGCTTGGTGGAATATGTCTTGTATGACCACAAATATTCTCCAGTTATAATTTGTGGCCAGCTAAAAAATGTGGCTATTTTCAGACCATGAGCATTAATCTTCTAGATGCCTTGTGAGTACCTAGCTACTCATATTAAGATAGAGTATTCTAGTCATGTTTACTAAACTAGAAGCTTGTTATTCATGAGTTCCTCTAACACAATAAGTCTACTGCTCAAGGAGAAAATGTATTTCTCAGGAATTCTGTGCATTTTGTTTGATGGAATTTGGTATGTTTACCAAAATGGCAGAAAAGAGTGAAATTAGTCCTCAAAGATTTCTCAAGATTGGATATAAAGTAAGCAAAATGATTATAGGTAATATGCAAGTTGATACAGTTGATATTCAAGAGAAATTTGAAACACAATGACATTTTTATTTTTACTTATTTATTATTATTATTATTTTGAGACAGAGTCTTCTCTGTTGCCCAGGGTGGATTGTAGTGTACCATCCTGGCTCACTGAAACCTCCACCTCCCGGGTTCAAGCAATTCTCCTGCCTCAGCTTCCCAAGTAGCTGCGATTACAGGCATGCATCAACACACCCAGCTAATTTTTGTATCTTTAGTAGAGATGGGATTTCACTCTGTTGGCTGGGCTTGTCTCAAACTCCTGACAACAGGCGATCTGCCCACCTGGGCCTCCCAAATTGCTGGGATTACAGGCATGAGCCACCACTCCCAGCCACAATGAGATTTTTAAATAATTCTAACTGATTTCCTGCTGTTGAGCAGGGAGCTGAGCAAATTCAACAGATCATGGGCCTAAAGTAGGAGAAGACTAAGGACAAACTCTAGAATGCATGTGATTAAATTAATTACAATTGAAACCAAATCAAATTTAATAAGGCTGTACCTCTTAGTTTCAAGATGTTTCCCCTCACTTTGAAATGTGGTGTTATTCAGTGGAAAATAACAGGGTTCCCTGCAGGGATTGATTGACTGAGAGCTATGGCTCAGGATTAAAAATCCTTTTTTCCACTTATAAATGAAAAATAAATTTTGTCATAAAGTAGGCTGTCACTAAACAGGCATATCTGATCTTATCATGTAGGGTTGTTAAATACCACATTTCAACTTCTAGTCATAATGATGGAGAGGTTATTGCTATAAACTAAACTAAAAATAAATAAACTAAAAATAAATTTCTAAGCCCCTATTGACTAAATGGACACCTCTTCTTGGATAAGGACATTCCAAAGTTAACATGAAAAGCTAGTTCAAGCCATGGGTCACACAGGCCTCATTATACTCTCCTCCCTTTGGTTTTAATTTTGATTTCAATTTTTAATTTATTTTTGTGGGTACATAGTTGGTGTATATATTTATGGGGATACATGACATACTTTGATACAGGCATGCAATGAGTAATGCATAATAAAAAAATGGGGTGTCCATCCCCTCAAGCATGTATAGCTTGTGTTATAAACAATCCAATTATACTTTTAGTTTTTTAAAATGTATAGTTAAATTATTTTTGACTATAATCACCCTGTTGTGCTATCAAATGCTGTCTTATTCATTCTTTCTAACAGTTTTTTGTACCCATTTCGCATCCCCACTAACACCCTGTTCCCTCACTGCCCTTCCCAGCCTCTGGTAACCATCCTTATACTCTCTATCTCTATGACACCAATTGTTTCGAATTTTAGCACACACAAATAAGTGAGAACATGTGACATTTGTCTTTCTGTGCCCGACTTATTTCACTTAACATAAAGACTTTCAGTTCCATTTATGTTATTGCAAATGGCAGACTCTCATTCTTTCTTATAGCTGAATAGTACTCCACCGTGTATATGTACCATATTTTCTCTATCCAGTCAGCTGTTGAGGGACATTTAAGTTCCTTCCAAATCTTGGCTATTATAAACCCTGCTGTAGCAAATATGAGAGTGCCAATATGTCTTTGATCTACCAATTTTATTTCTTTTAGGCATATACTGAGCAGTGGGATTGCTAGACCTTTTAGTAGCTCTATTTTTAGTTATATCAGGAACATCCAAACTGTCCTTAATTGTGCTCCCAACAACAGTGTACAAGGGTTCCCTTCACTCCACATACTCACCAGCATTGGTTTTTGACTGACTTCTGGATAAAAGCCACCTTAACTGGGGTGAAATGATATCTCATTTTGGGTTTGATTTGCATTTCTATGATGATCAGTAATGTGTAGCACCTTTTCATTTGCCTGCTTGACATTTGTATGTCTTCTTTTCATAAATGTCTATTTAAATTTTTTGTCCATCCTTTAATTGGATTATTATATTTTTTATAGAAATTTTTGAACTCAATATATTGTAGTGTATTAGTCTGTTTCAGCACTGCTATAAAAAAATACTCAAGACTGGGTTATCTATTTATTTAACGAGATGAAGTCTTGATCTGTTACCCAGGCTGAAGTGCAGTGGTGCAATCTCGGCTCACTGCAAACTCCACCTCCTGGTTCAAGCAATTCTCTGTCTCAGCCTCCTGAGTAGCTGGGATTACAGGCACCTGCCACCATGCCTGGCTAATTTTTGTATTTTTAGTAGAGACAGGGTTTCACCATCTTGGCCAGGCTGGTCTTGAACTCCTGACCTCGTGATCCAACCCCCACTTGGCCTCCCAAAGTGGTGAGATTACAGGCATGAACCACCGCACCTGGCAAGACTGAGTAATTTATAAAGGAAATGGGTTTAATTGACTCACAGTTCCACATGGCTTGGCAGGCTTCAGGAAACTTACAATCATGGCAGATGGGGAAGCAGTCACCTCTTACATGACAGCAGGCGAGACAGCATGTATGTGAAGCAAAGGGGGAAGAGTCCCTTATAAAACCATCAGATCTCATGAGAACTCACTCACTATCAGAAGAACAGCCTGGGGGAAACCACCCCCATGATCCAATCACCTTCTGCCGGGTCTCTCCCCCAAAACCTGGGAATTACAATTCAATATGAGATTTGGGTGGGGACACAAAGCCTAACCATATCATGTAGCTATTAATTGCCTTTCAGATGGATAACTTACAAATATTTTCTCCCATTCTGTGGATTTTCTCTTCACTTTGTTTATTGTTTCCTTCACTTTAAAAAGGCTTTCTGACTTGCTGTAATCCCATTTGCCCGTGTTTGTTTTGGTTGTCTGTGCTTATGGGGCACTATTTAAGAAATTTTTGCCCAAACCAATGCCCTAAAGGGTTTCCCCAATGTTTTATTGTAAAAATGTGATAGTTTGAGATGTTAGGTTTAAGTCTTTAATTCATTTTAATTTGATTTTTTATGTGGCAAGAAATAGGGTTCTAGTTTTATTCTTCTGCCTATGACCTGCCACTTTTCCCAGCCCTATTTATTACAAAAACTGTCTTATTTTTTGTTGTATATTCTTGGCACTTTTGTTGAAAATAAGTTTAGCTTAGCTGTATGAGTTTGTTTCTAAGGTCTCTATTTTGTTCCATTTGGCTTTATGTCTGTTTTTATGCTAGTGTCATGCTGTTTTAATTACTATAACTTAGTAGTATAATTTAAAACCAGGTAATGGAATTCCTCCAGTTTTGTTTTATATACTCAGCACAGCTTTGACTATTATGGTGTTTTGTGACAGTTCCATATAAATTTCAGAATTTTTTTTCTGTTTCTGTGAGGAATGTCTTTTTTTTTTTTTTTTTTTTTTAGATGGCATCTCGCTCTGTCACCTAGACTGGAGTGCAGTGATGCAATCTCGGCTTACTGCAACCTCTGCCTCCTGGGCTCAAGCAATTACCTACCTCAGCCTCCTGAGTAGCTGGGAAGGCACCCGCCACCACGCCCAGCTAATTTTTTTGTATTTTTAGTAGAGATGGGGTTTCACAAATTTGGCCAGGCTGGTCTTGAACTCCTGACCTCATGGTCCACCCACCTCGGCCTCCCAAAGTGCTGGGATTACAGGCATGAGCCACTGCCCCTGGCCTGTTATTTTGATAGAGATGGCATGAAATGTATAGATTTCTTTGGATTGTATGGACATTTTAGAAAAATACTGATTCTTCCAATCTGTGAACATAAAAATATCTTTCCAATTTTTGGGTCCTTTTTCATTTCTTTTATCAGTGTTTTACAGTTTTAATTGTTGAGAACTTTTATTTCTTTGGTAAGTTCCCACACATTGTGTTTTATTTGTGGCTATTGCAAATAGTGTTACATTTTTGAATTCTTTTTCACTTTGTTGACTGTTGGCATATAGCATTCCTACTGATTTGTATATGTTGATTTTGTATTCTGCAAATTTACTCAAGTTATTACTTCTAATAGTTTTTTTGGTGGATGTATTAGGCCATTCTCACATTGCTATAAAAAAAAATCAGTGACCGGTTAATTTGTAAAGGAAATAGATTTAATTGGTTCATGGTTCTACAGGCTGTACAGAAAGCATAGCACTGGCTTCTGCTTCTGGGGAAGCCTCTGGCAACTGACAAGGTGAAAAATAAATCCGATGCTTGCACATCACATGGTAAGTGTGAGGGCAGAGTGTAAGTGCTACACACTTGTAGATAACCAGCTCTCGTGAAAACTTACTATTGTGGGAATGGCACCAAAGGAAATGATGCTGAACTCTTCATGGAAATCCTGCCCTCTTGATTCAATCACCTCCCCACTAGGCCCACTTCCAACATTGAGGATTACATTTCAGTGTAAGATTTTGGTGGGAACACACACCCAAACTATATCATTTTGCCCTGGCCATTCCAAATCTCATATCCTTCTCATATTTCAAAATACAATCATGACTTCCCAATAATTCCCAAAGTCTTAACTCATTTCAGCCTTAACTCAAAAGTCAAAAGTCTCATCTAAGACAAAGCTAGTTTATTCCTCCTATAAGCCTGTAAAATAAAAAAACAAGTTAGGTACTTCCAAGATACAAATGGGGCAGAGGCATTGGGTAAATACTCCTATTCTAAAAGGAAGAAATCAGCCAAAAGAAAGGGGCCACAGGACCCACGAAAGTCTGAAACCCAGAAGGGCAGTTATTGAATTATAAGGCTCTAAAATAATTATTTTTGACTCTGTGTCCCATTTCCAGGGCACACTAATGCCTTGGGAAGGTTCAACCTTGTGACTTTGCATGGTTCCGCCCCCATAGCTGCTCTCATGGGCTGGCATTGTGTACCTCTGGCTGGTATTGTGTGTCTCTGGCTTTTCCAGGTGCAAGGTGCAAGCTGTAGCTAGATCTACCATTATGCGGTCTGGAGGACAGTGACCTTCTCCTCACAGATCTACTAGGCCATGCCCCAGTGGGGAGCCTGCATGGGGACTGTCACCCCACATTTCTTTTCTCCATTGTTTTAGTAGAGGTTCTCCATGAATGCTCCACCCCTGCAGCATGCTTCTGTCTGCACACCCTGGCTTGTTCACACATCCTTTGAAACAAAGGTGGAAGATCCCAAGTCTCAACTCTTGCATTTTGTAAACCCACAGGCCTAACACCACATGGAAGCTACCAAGGCTTATGGCTTGCACCCTCTGAAGCAGTGACTGGAGTTGTAACTGGATCAATTTGACCTACACCTGGAGCTGAAGCAATGGTCAGGATGCAGGGAGCCATGTTCCAAAGCTACCCAAGGCAGCAGATCCTGGGCCTGATCCCAGAAACTATTCTCTTCTTTTAGGCCTCAAGGCCTGTGATTGGGGGCTGCCTTTCAGATTTCTAAAATGCCTTCAAGTCCTCTTTCCCATTGTCTTGGCTATCAACACTTGCTTTTTTTTTAGGTTACACAAATACCTCTAACAAGTCGTTGCTCCATAGCGTGCTTGAGTTCCTCTCTTATAAAATCTTTTTATGTTTTAGGCACAGGACTAGCCTGCAAAGTTTTCAAGCTTTTACACTATGCTTCCCTTGTAAGTATAAGTTACAACTTATATATTTTTTTTGCTAGATCATGTGAGCATAGGTTGTTAGAAGCAGCCAGGCAACATCTCAAATGCTTTGCTGCTTAGACATTTTTCCAACAGAAAACTTAAATCATCAATTTCAAAATCAAAGTTTTATATATCCCTAGGGCATGACAGAAATTCAGCCAGCCACTTTGCTAAGACAACATGCATGACTTTTGTTTCGGTCCTAATAAGTTTCTAATTTTATCTGAGACCTCCTCAGCTTGGCCTTCACTGTCCAGATCACTAACAGCATTTTGGTCACAGCCATTCAACCAGTCTCTAAGAAAATCTCAACTTTCCCTTATTTTTCTGTCTTCCTCTGAATCCTATAAACTCTTCCAACCTCTGCCTGTTTATCCAACTACAAAGCTAATTTCACATTTTCAGGTATTCTTATAACAATTTCTCACTCCTTGGTGCCAATTTTCTGTATTAAGCTATTTTTGCATCACTATAAGAGTGGGACTGGATAATTTATTTTTAAAAAAGGAGGTTTAAGTGGCTCATGGTTCTACAGGCTGTAGAGAAGACATAGCACTGGCATATGCTTCTGGGGTGGCCTGTAGAAGTTTACAGTCATGGCAGAAGTTGAAGCAGAATCTTGCACATCAAAGGGCAAAAAGCTGGAGCAAAAAACAGAGGGGCGAGTTGTTACACACTTTTAAATAACCAGATCTTGTAGGAACTCACTCACTATTATGAGGATAGTACCAAGTGGGACGGTGCTGAGCCATTTCTGAGTAATCCACCCCAATGGTTAAATCACCTGGCCCACCTCCAACATGGAGAATTACATTTAAATATGAGATTTGGGAGGGGACACACGTTCAAACCCTATCAGAGGAGTCTTTATGTTTTTTCAAATATAAGACTATGTCATTGGCAAAAAAAGATAATTTGACTTCTTTTCCAACTGGGGTGCCTTTTATTGCTTTCTCTTGTCTGATTGCTCCAGATAGGACTTTCAGAATTATGTTGAATAACAGTGGTAAAAGTGGACATTCTTGTCATCTTCCAGATTTTAGAGGAAAGGCTTTTAGTTTTTCCCCACTTAGTATGATACTAGCTGTGGGTCTGTCATATATGACTTTTATTATGTTGAGGTATGTTCATTCCATACCGAGTTTTCAAAGAGTTTTTTATAATTAAAGAATATTAAGTTTTATCAAATAATTTTTTAGCATAATTGAAATGATTATATGGATTTTGTCCTTTTATTTATTTATTTTTTTTTGAGATGAAGTCTCCCTCTGTCACCCAGGCTGGAGTGCATTGGTGTGATCTCAGCTCACTGCAACCTCTGCCTCCTGGGTTCAAGTGATTTTCCTTCTTTAGCCTCCCGAGTAGCTGGGATTACAGGCACCCACCACCGTGCCTGCTTAATTTTTGTATTTTTAGTAGAGACGGGGTTTTGCCATGTTGGCCAGACTGGTTTCAAACTCCTAAACCCAGGTGATCTGCCAGCCTCAGCTTCCCAAAGTGCTGGGATTACAGGCATGAGCCACTGTGCCTGACCCCTTCATTCTGTTTATGTGATGTATCACATTGATTAATTTGAATGTTGAACCATCTTTGCATCCCTGGGATAAATCCCACTTGGTCATTATGACTTACCTATTTATGTATTGTTTAATTGAGTTTGCTAGGTGTTTTGCAAATTTTTGCACCAATATTCTCAGATATGGGCCTGTAGTTTGCCTTTTTAATGTGTCTTTGTCTGGTTTTGATATCAGGGTAATACTAGCCTCAAAGAATGAGTTTGGAAATGTTCTTTCCTTCTCTATTTTTCAGTCTGGTCCTACTGACTTTTTTATTAAGGCTTTAATTTTGTTAATTGTTATTGGTCTGTTCAGGTTTTAGGTTTTTTCCTAGTTCAATCTGGGTAAGCTGTGTGTATCTAAGAATTAATTTCCTCTAGGTTTTCTAATTTGTTGGCATACAATTGCTGATAGTAGCCACTAATGACCTTTTGATTTTCTGAAGCGTTACTTGTAATGTCTCCTTTTTCACCTCTGATTTTACTAATTTCTATCTTCTCTGTTTTTTAGTTAGCCTGTCTAAATATTTGTCAACTGTTTTACTTTTCAAAAAATCAACTTTTTGTTTCATTAATCTTTTGCATTGTTTTCTTCATTTTATCTTTATTTACTTCCACTGTAATCTTTATTATTTCTTTCCTTCTAATTTTGGGTTTGGTTTGGCCTTTTCATTCTAGTTAATTAAGATGTATTGTTAGGTTATTTATTTGAAGCTTTTCTGTTTTTTATGTAGGCACTTACAGTTATAAATTTTCCTTTTATAATAGTACCTCTTTTACTATATTCCATAGGTTTTGCTATGCTATGTTTCCATTATCATTTGTTTCAAGAAATTTTTCTGTGTTCTTCTTAACTTTTTTATCGACCTACTAATCATTCAGGATCATATTGTTTAATGTCCACGTGTGTGTATAGTTTCTGAAATTCCTTTTTAAATTGATTTCTAGTTTTATTCCCTGTCGTCAGAGAAAATGCTTGATATTACTTCAATTTTTTGGAATGTTTTTAGACTTGTTACTTAACATATGGTCTATCCTTGAGAATAACCCATGTGCTGAGGAGAAGAATGTTTATTCTGCAGCTGTTGCATGAAATTTTCTGTAAATATCTATTAGGTTCATTTGTTCTATAGTGCAGATTGTCTGATGTTTCTTTGTTGATTTTCTGTCTGCAAGGTCTATCCAATGCCTAAAGTGGGGTATTGAAGTGTCCAGCCATTATTGTATTGAGGTCTCTTTCTTTAGCTCTTATAATATTTGCTTCATTTATCTAGGTGCTTTAGTGTTGAGTGCATATATATTTTCAATTATTATATCCTCTTGATGAATTGATCTGTTTATTATTATATAATGACCTTTTTAATCTCTTTCTACAGTCTTCTGTTGAAATCTATTTTTGTCTGGTATAAGTATAGCTATTTCTGCAAAGAACTCAAACAAATTTACAAGAAAAAAACAAACAACCCCAGTGGGTGAAGGATATGAACAGACACTTCTCAAAAGAAGACATTTATGCAGCCAAAAAACACATGAAAAAATGCTCATCATCACTGACCATCAGAGAAATGCAAATCAAAACCACAATGAGATACCATCTCACACCAGTTAGAATGGTGATCATTAAAAAGTCAGGAAACAACAGGTGCTGGAGAGGATGTGGAGAAATAGGAACACTTTTACATTGTTGGTGGGACTGTAAACTAGTTCAACCACTGTGGAAGACAGTGTGGCGATTCCTCAAGGATCTAGAACTAGAAATAGCATTTGACCCAGCCATCCCATTACTGGGTATATATCCAAAGGATTATAAATCATGCTGCTATAAAAAAATGGAGGCTTTCTAAATAGATCTTCATTAATGTTGAGGTTTTAAGTCTTGGTCTCAGCCAAAAGGAATTCCTCGCATACCCAGGAGGGATGAAACACTTGCATTGTCGCGTTAGATATTCTTAGAGAGAAAGAGGACCATGCGTAATGGAAAATTGCTAACTTTGCCTCAGGGAGACCAGGTTGATTCACTGAGAAAGTTTGAATTGGTTTAGAAAGCATAGTTCTGAGTTTTCTAGGAGAAGGAGAAAAGTTAGGGTAGGGCATAAGAAATAATGCCCACATCAAAAAGTTAGAAAGATCTCAAATTAACAACCTAACATCACAACTGAAAGAATTAGAGAAGCAAGAAGAATTCAACCACAAAGTTTATAGAAGACAAGAAATAACTAAAATCAGAGCAGAACTGAAAGAAATAGAGACATGAAAAACTATTCAAAAAATCACTTAATCAAAGTTTTTTGAAAAAATTAATAAGATAGATAGGGTACTAGCTAGATGAATAAAGAAGAAAAGAGAGAAGATTCAAATAAAATTAGAAATGATGAAGGGAATGTTACCACTGACCCCAGAGAAATAAAAATAACAACCAGCAACTACTATGAACACATCTACACACACAAACTAGAAACCCTAGAAAAGATGGATAAATTCCTGGCCACATACACCATCTCAAGGCTGAACCAGGAAGAAACTGAGTCCCTGAACAGACCAATAATGAGCTCCAAAAATTCAATCAGTAGTAAATAGCCTACCAAGCAAAAAAAAAAAAAAAAAAAAAAAAAAAAGCCCAGGACCTGATAGATTAATAGTAAAATTTTAACAGATATACGAAGAAGAGCCAGTACCATTCCTACTAAAACTATTTCAAGAAATAGAGGAGGAGGGACTCTTCCCCAACTTGTTCTACAAGGCCAGCATCATCCTGATACCAAAGCCTGGCAGTGACACAACAAAAAAAGAAAGCTTCAGGCCAGTATCCTTGATGAACATCCATTCAATAATCCACAACAAAATCCTTGCAAACCGAATCCAGCAACACATCAAAAGTCTAATTCACCACAGAGGAGTAGGATTCTTCCCTAGAATGGAAGGTTGGTCCATCATGGGCAAATCAATAAAATGTGATTTATAACATAAATAAAACTAAAGACAAGAACCACATAATTGTCTCAATAGACGCAGAAAAGCCTTCAGTAAAATTCAGCAATGCTTCATGTTAAAAAGTCTCAATAAATGAGATATTGAAGGAACATACCTCAAAATAATAAAGGCCACCTATGACAAACTCACAGCCAGCATTATACTAAATGGGCAAAGTCTGGAAGCATTCTCCTTGAAAACTGGCACAAGACAAAGATGCCCTCTCTCACCACTCCTATTCAACACAGTATTAGAAGTCCTTGCTGGAGCAATCAGACAAGAGAAAGAAATAAAGTGTATTTAAATAGAAAGAGAAGTCCAACTACCTCTGTTTGCAGACAACATAATTCTCTATCTGAACCCTATAGTTGTGACCCAAAAGCTCCTTAAGCTGATACAACTTCCACACAGTTTCAGGATACAAAATCAATGTACAAAATTTGCTAACATTCCTATACACCAAGAAGAGCCAAACTAAGAGCCAAATCAGAGAGGCAATTTTATTCACAATTTCCACAAAAAGAATAAAATACATAGGAATACAGCTAACCAGGGTGGTGAAAAATCTCTATAATGAAAATTACAAAACACTGCTCAAAGAAGTCAGAAAAAACACAAACAAATGAAAAATCATTCCATGTTAATGGAGAGAAAGAAGTAATATCATTTAAATGGTTGTACTGCCCAAAGCTATATTAAACTACCAATGACAGGCTTCACGGAAGTAGAAAAAGCTATTTAAAAATTCGCACAGAACCAAGAAAGAACCTAAGTAGCCAAGGCAATCTGCAAAGCTTGAGGCATCACATTACTTGACTTCAAACTATACTACAGCACTACAGTAACCAAAACAGCACGGTACTGGTATAAAAACAGACACATACACCAATGGAACAGAATAGAGAGCCCAGAAATAAGACCACAGACCTACAATTATCTAATCTTTGACAAAGCTGGCAAAAACAAGCAATGGGGAAAAGATTCCCTATTCAATAAATGGTGCTGGAATAACTTGCTAGCCATATGCAGAAGATTGAAGTTGGTCTTCTTCCTTATACCACACACAAAAATCAACCCAAGATGGATTAAATACTTAAATGTAAAACCCAAAACTATAAAAGCCCTGGAAGACAACCTAGGCAATACCATCCTGGACATAGAAACAGGCAAAGATTTCATGATAAAGACACCAAAAACAATTACAACAAATGCAACTATTGACAAGTGGGATCTAATTAAACTTAAAAGCTTCTGCTCAGCAAAAGAAATTATCAATAGAGTGAACAGACAACCTATAAAAGGAGAAAAAGTATTTACAAACTATGTCTCTGACAAGGATCTAATATTCAATATAAGGAACTTAAATTTACAAGAGAAAAACAACCCTATTAAAAAGTGTCCAAAGAATTGTCTATGCATGTCCTTAGCCTACTTTTTGATGGGATTGTTTGTTTTTTTCTTGCTAATTTGTTTGAGCTCATTGTATATTCTGGATATTAGTTCTTTGTCAGATATACAGATTGTGAAGATTTTCTCCCATTCTGTGGATTGTCTGTTTACTCTGCTGACTGTTCCTTTTGCCGTGAAAAAGCTCTTTAGTTTAATTAAATCCCACCTATTTATCTTTGTTTTTCTTGCATTTGCTTTTGGGTTCTTGGTCATGAAATCTTTGCCTAAGCCAATGTCTAGAAGGGTTTTTTTGATGTCATCATCTAGAATTTTTATACTTTCAGGTCCTAGATTTAAGTTCTTGATCCATCTTGAGTTGATTTTTGTATAAGGTGAGAGATAAAGATCCAATTTCATTCTCCTACTTGTGGCTTGCCAATTATCCCAGTACCATTTGTTGGGTAGGGTGTTCTTTCCCCACTTTGTTTTTGTTTGCTTTGTCAAAGATCAGTTGGCTGTAAATATTTGGGTTAATTTCTGGGTTCTTCATTATGTTCTATTTGTCTATGTGCCTGTTTTTATACAAGAACCATGCTGTTTTGGTGACTATGGTCTTATGATATAGTTTGAAATCAGGTAATGTGATGCCTTCTGATTTGTTCTGTTTGTTTAATATTGCTTTGGCTATGCGGGCTCCTTTTTGGTTCCATATGAATTTTAGGATTGTTTTTTCTAGTTCTGTGAAGAATGATGATGGTATTTTGATGGCAATTGCATTGAATTTGTAGATTGCTTTTGGCACTACGGTCATAGACAATTCTCAGAAGATATACAAATGGCCAACAAACATATGAAAAAATGCTCAACATAACTAATGATCAGGGAAATGCAAATTACAACCACAATGCAATGCCACCCTACTCCCACAAGAATGGTCATAATAAAAAAATAGTAGATGTTGGTGTGAATGTGGTGAAAAGGGAACGCTTCTGCACTGCTGGTGGGAATGCAAGTTAGTACAATCACTATGGACAATAGTGTGGCGATTCCTTAAAGAACTAAAAGTAGAAGTACCATTTGATCCACCAATCCCACTACTGGCTATGTACCCAGAGGAAAAAAAAGTCATTATAAGAAAAAAGATACTTGCACACACATATTTATGGCAGCACAATTTGCAATTGCAAAAATGTAGAACCAATCCAAGTGCCCATCAATCAACGAGTGGATGAAGAAACTGTGGTACATACGTACGATGGAATACCACTCAGCCACAAAAAGGAATGAATTAATGGCAGTTGCAGCAACCTGGATGGGATTGAAGACTATTATTCTAAGTGAAGTAACTCAGGAATGGAAAACCAAACATCATATATTCTCACTTATAATTGGGAGCTAAGCTATAAGGATGCAAAAGCATAAGAATGACACAATGGACTTTGGGGACTCGGAGAAAGGGGAGAAGGTGGTGAGGGATAAAAGGCTACAGATTGGGTTCAGTGTATACAGATGAGGTGATGGATGCACCAAAATCTTACAAATCAATCAATAACTTACCAATGTAACCAAATGCCCCCTGTTGTCCTAAAACCTATGGAAATAAAAAAGTGTTTAAAAAGTGGGCAAAGGACATGAACGCTTTTCAAAAGAATATATACATGTGACCAACAACCATAGAATACAAAGCTCAATATCACTGATCATTAGAGAAATGCAAATCAAAGGCACAGTGAGACACCATCTCACACCAGTCAGGATGGCTACTATGAAAAAGTCAAAAAATAACAGATGCTGGCAAGGTTGTGGAGAAAGAGAAGACATACACTGTTGGTGGGAGTGTACATTGGTCCCACCATTGTGGAAAGCACAACAGTGCTTTCCTCGAAAGAGATAAAAGCAGAACTATCACTTGACCCAGCAATCTCACTACTGGGTATATACCCAGAGGTATATAAATTGTTCTGTCATAAGGACACAAGCACGTAAATGTTTGTTGCAGCACTATTCACAATAGTAAAGACATGGAATCAACCTAAATGCCCAACGATGACAGATTGGATGCAGATAATATGGCACACTGTGGAGGAAAAGTTAAATATTAAATTTGAACTCAATTGAACATGGACACAAACAATGGTCACTAAGTCCTGGAATGAGTTGTGTGAGCCCCTTGAGGCATCCATCCAGTGCTGCTTCGGAGAAACAGTTATTGAAAAACAACAGTTATTGAAAAACAGTTATTGAAAAACAACAGGCAATTGCAAAAACAAATTGACCTTTTTGTGTTCCTTGAGCTCAGTTGCAAAGGGCCCTCATGACTGGGCCTCATGACAAACAACTTGTTACAAAAAGAGCTCGGTTTCCAGATCGCACCGAAGCTTCCTGGGACCTCTCCTCATCTGTGCACGGACTAGTGGCCAATTCTGAATCCCAGGCTGTTGTTTCCCAGTCTGGTGATGAATCCTCCACAGTCTGGTGAGTGTAAATGTATATAAATGTATGTATATACTTTTTCCCTTCTCCCCTTCCCATTAAAATTTGTTTGTTGTATCATTTGCTTATTATATCTATATTGCCATATACTCGGGGTAAAGTCTGTTTACCTTTAAAAGTATTGTGTGTTTCTTTTCTTTCCTCACACGTTTCCCACACAGAACACACATATGCACCATGGAATACTATGCAGCTACGTGTTCTCACTTGTAAATGGGAGCTAAATAATGAGAACTTATGAACACAAGGGAACAACAGACAACAGACACTGGGGGTCTACCTGAGCGGGGAAGGTGGGAGAAGGGAGAGGAACAGAAAAGATAACTGTGGGGTACTGGGCTTAATACTTGTGTTATGAAATAATCTGTATAACAAGCCCCTGTGTTATGAGTTTATCTATGTAACAAACCTTCACATGTACCCCCAAACCTAAAATAAAACATTTTTTAAATCCTTTATGAAAGCTGTAAGATCTGCTCCTGTGTGTTTGTATGTCTATATGTGTTACATGTATGTAATAATATTTTGTAAATAAAGCTCATTCTTAAATCGTTAAATAGAAATGGCTTTACAATTATCCATTAAAAATAATTAGATACTTGCTTGATTTAACTGTGAGCTTACGTCTTTTGTTGAGAGTTTCTTGATTCATGGGTCTTGATAGGTGAACATGAAGAAGTATGGAGACACATTCTCAGTGCCTAGACCAGCAGCTACAAGCCAGAATCAAGCCCAATCGGCCCCTTCTTTCTATGCTTTCCCTGTTTTGCCTCCTGGCTATTTTAGGCGGGGTTGGATCCTCCAGTTATAGCCTTCACAGTTCTGTCTTTAGTCCTAATGGACTCAGGCAGGCCCTGATCTTCATAGTTCTCCTGGGTGCCATGTGGCTACTTGGAACCGAGGATTACTGAGGGAAGACATTACGGATGCCACCTGTGTCATAGTTTCAAAATTCTGTTCATTAATTTAAAATCTTAAAATCACATTAAATTAAGTAATACATAACCATAAAATATCTTGAGTCATTTGTAAGCTAAAATATTGAAATACTAACCATTAAAAATTAGTTTAGGTCTATATACCATGACACGTTACTTGTATATGGTATACAAAACCTAAATAGCTTTAGTTCTGTTAATAAACAGTAATTTGAAGAATTATATTTCTTAAAAGTTATAAAATGGTTTTTATCTAAAAATACTGATACAAGACAGTTGAAAATCACTTTTTAGGGTTTTCACTGAAAATTGGGGCTCCTAAGACTTAATTACTAGACATGAGAGAAACAATTCTGCATACAGAGTGTATAAAAAGCAAGATACGCTTTTTTTTTCTTTTTTTGAGAACGAGTCTTGCTCTGTTGCCCAGGCTGGCATGCAGTGGCATGATCTCAGCTCACTGCAACCTCTGCCTCCCCGGTTCGAGTGATTCACCTGCCTCAGCCTCCCAACTAGCTGGGATTACAGGTGCTCGCAACCACACCCGGCTAATTTTTGTATTTTTAGTAGAGATGGAGTTTCAACATGTTGGCCAGGCTGATCTCGAACCCCTGACCTCAAGTGATGCACCTGCCTCGGCCTCCCAAAGTGCTGGGATTACAGGCTTGTGAACATACGCTTTTGATGATAAAACTTATAAAGACATAAAAATGTGTTTTAATTTTTTTTTGGTTTGAAGTTACTTAAAGATTTCAAATTGAAGAAGTAAAAAAAAACTAGATAAAACTAGATAAATATAGAAAGTTGGGGGAAAATGCAAAGCATACGTTCACAAAAATCTGGGATTAAAAGATGACAACATTTGATAAATTTATTTATAAAGTTTTATTAAATTAACTTTAGAGGCTGGGCATGGTGGCTCACGCCTGTAAATAATAAAATTATCTTGCCAATTATGTCTAACTATGATAGTTTAAAGTCATTTCCACTGTAAATTGCTTAATTCTGAGGCAGTTTGTGAAAACTTTACAAGCTTGCAAAATCCTGGAATATTGTTTCTTTAAGGAGGTTCATGAAAGGATGGAGAAGGCCCTGAGAAGTACTCTTGAATATAGGTTTTTGAGAACTTTAGAATTATATTATTTGAACTGGGTAAGAATTTCCAGAACTTTAATGAAGAGACTGACTGGTTAATAAAATTGCTAACCCAAGCAGAATAAAAATCAATTGAATACCAAGAAAATACTTTGCCAGATTTTCATGCCAAATCAGCTAGTACTTAAATTGTCTAGATAAAGAATTTGAATGAACTGCATAGTCCAAGTCAAATTATCTATGATAATCCCTGATTAGTCAGTGCTATGCACCTAAGTTGAAGAAACAGTCCAATGTTAAGCATGGAGAACCAGAATGTCTTCCTTGTCCTTCCTGAGTTCTGAAAGCTTTTCTTATTAAAAGTTCTGCATTCTGATTCTTGGGTGTGAGAGGAAAGCAAGATGGCAGAAAGAAGGCTCCACTGATTGTCCCTCCTGCAAGGACACCAGATGAATAACTATTAATATCCACATAGAAAATACATTCATAAGAACCAAAAATCAGGTGAGTACTCAAAGTATCTGGTTTTAACCTCAGATCACTGAAAGAGGCACTGAAGAGACAGAAAAAACAGTCCTGAAATCACCATTTCCTTATCCCCAGCAGTGATGGCATGGTGCAGACAACAACTCTGGGTTCTGCAGGAGGGAGAACACAGCAATTGTGACGCACTGCACTCAGTGCTGTCCTGTTAGAGCAGAAAGGAAAACCAGACCAAATGCAGTTAATGCCCATCCACAGAGGGATCAATTAAACCAGCCCTAGCTAGAGGGGAATCAGATTCCAGTGGTTGGAACTTCAGTGTTTGGAAACCTGGCAACTAAGGGCTCCCGCACTGTGTGTCTAAGAAAACTTGAAAGGCAGCCTAGGCCATCAGGACTGCAACTCTTAGGTGAGGCCTAGGGCTGAACCGGGCCCAGGGACAGTGGACTGGGGTGGGGAGGGCATGCAACACACTGAGACACCAGCTGGGGCAGCCAAAGGAGTTCTGGCATTATCACTCCCTTAACACCAGACTGCACAGCTCATGGCTCCAAAAGGGACACCATCCTTCTGCTTGAGGAGAGGAGGGAAAAGAGTAGGGAGTACTTTGTCTTTCATCCTGGACACCAGCTCAGTCACAGCAAGATAGTGCACTGGTCAGAATCCTGAGGCCTCCTTTCCAGTCTCTGGCTCCTAGACATTCCTAGACACATCCTGGGCCAGAAGGAAACCTGCTGCCTTGAAGAAAAGAACCATGTGCTGGCAGGATTTATCGCCTGCAAACTTGAAAACCTTTGGGCTCTGAATAACCAGCAGCCATACCCAGTACTACATCAAGGGCCTTGGATGACCCTCATAGACTTGCTAGATTTAGGTGAACTCAGCACATTACCAGCTGTGGTAGCTAAAAGGCAAAACTCCTTCTTCTTGGGAAAAGTAGAGGGAAAATTAAAGGGGACTTTGTCTTGCCCCTTAGGTACCAGCAAGGCCAGAGGTGGGTAGAGCACCAAGCAAAATTTCATAATCCCTGATTCTAGGATTTGATTCTTGGCTGGCATTTATGAAGCTGCCCAGGGCCAGTAGGGAGCCCATTGCCCTGAAAACGGCAAGTCCCAGGCCAGGCAGCATTCATCGCAAGTTGACAAGAGGTTTTGGGCCTTAAGGGAACATTGGTGGTAGCCTGGCAGTACTCATTGTGGCCTGAGGTGGTGGTGGCTACTCTGTCTTTAGGAAAGGAAGGGAGGAATGGGAAGGACTATGTCTTGTGGTTTGAGTGTCAGGTCAGCTGCAATGCAATAGAATGTCAGGTGGACTTCTAAAACTTTTGACTCTACTCCCTGACTTCTGAATGGCACTTCTCGACCCAGCCAGGGACTGAGGGCACTCACTGCCCTAAAGGAAAGAACACAGGCCTGGCTGGCTTTGCCACCTGCTAATTGTAGAGACCAAAGGCCTTGAGTGAACATAGGCAGTCATCAGAAAGTGCATGCAGCAGGACTTGAGCAAGACCCAGTGCTGTGCTAGCTTCAGGTCTGATCCAGGGCAGTCATAGTGGTGGTGGCCAGGGATGCTTGTGTCTTTCTTCTCCCAGCTTTAGGTGGCTTAGAACAGAGAGAAAGACTCTGTATCTTTGAGAGAAAATAATGGTAGAGAACAAGAGTCTCTGGCTAGTAATCTAGAAAATTCTCCTGGATCTTGTTGAAGGCTGTCAAGGTGGTACTTCTCTGAGTCTGGAAGAATTACAGCATTATTGGGTACAAGGTACCCATAAAGCAGATATGGCTTAGATCACAACACCCAAGTCTTTTAAAATATGTGAAAAGTCTTCCCAAGAAAGACAGCTACAAATAAGCCCAGACAGTGAAGACTACAATAAATACTCACCTTTTCTCTTTTTTAATTTTATTTTTTAAACCTCTCATATGGTGCTGCATGCCCAAGAATTTAATGTCCAGACACTGAATAACATCTACTAGCATCAACACCATCCAGGAAAACATGACCTCACCAAGTGAACTAAATAAGGCACCGGGGACAAATCCTGGAGAAAAAGAGATATGTGACCTTTCAGACAGAGAATTCAACATAGCTGTATTAAAAAAAAACTGAAAGAAATTTAAGATAACAAAATAAAGAAATTCCAAATTTTGTCAGCTAAACTCAACAAAGAGATTGAAAAATTTACAACAAATTAAGCAGAAATTCTGGAGCTGAAAAATGCAATTGGCATGCTGAAGAATGCATTAGAGCCATTTAATAGCAGAATGGATCAAGCAGAAGAAATAGTGAGCTTGAAGACAGGCTATTTGAAAATACGTAGTCAGAAGAGACAAAAGAAAAAGAATAAAAACAACAAATCATGCCTACAGGATCTAGAAAAATAGCCTCACAAAGACAGATCTAAGAGTTATTGGTTTTAAAGAAGATGTAGAGAAAGAGGCAGGGGTAGAAAAATTTATTCAAAGGGATAATAACAGAAAACTTTCCAAACCTAGAGAAAGATATCCATATCCAACTACAAAAATGTTATAGGACATTAAGCAGATTTAACCCAAAAAAAGACTACTTCAAAGCATTCAATAGATCTTCCAAAAGTCAAAGATAAAGAAAAGTTCTAAAGGAAGAAAGAGAAGAGAAACAAAGAACATAACAGTGAGCTCCAACACCTCTGGCAGCAGACTTTACGGTGGAAACCCTACCGGCCAGGAGAGAGAAGCAATAAATATTTAAAGTACTAAAGGAAAAAAAACCTTTTACCTTAGAATAGCATATACAGTGAAAATATTCTTCAAATAAAAAGAAGAAATACTGACTTTTCCAGACAAAAGCTGAAGTATTTTATGAATACCATGTCTGTCCTAAAGGAATGCTAAAGAGAGTACTTCAATCAGGAAGAAAAGGACATTAATGAGCAATAAATGATCACCTAAAGGTAAAAAAAATCCTCAGTGCTAATAGGATACAAAACAAAACAGAATATTATAACGCTGTAGCTGTGGGATGTGCAAACTACTCTTATTCAAAGTAGGAATACTAAATAATATCCAATCAAAAGTAATAGCTACAACATTTCCAGACATAGCACAATAAAATATAAATAGAAACAACAAAAAGTTAAAAAGTGAAGGGATGAGCACACCCGTCCTGAGCCGGCCGATGTGGTGGAAGCTCGGAGCTCGGGAGCCGGGGACGCCCTGGAGCGTGGGCGGAAGGGAGGCCGCCCCGAGAGCCGGAAGCCTGGGCAGGGCACGGAGGCCTAGGACGCCCCCCAGCAACAGCAGGGCGGCGCCACATTGGTCCTGCGCGAGGCCTGGCCGCCGGCGACGGCGGGACGCTCTGGGAGGCCGGCGGTGCTCGGGCGTAGAGGGAGACAGCTGCCCGGGGGCACGGACGAGCGGCTCTGGGGGTCCCGGATCCGAGCCCCGCTGCCCCGGGGTGGCGGTGACGCCTGGAGCGGGGCGGACGTGGCTGGGCCGGGCTGTCGGGGCGGGCAGGCGCCGCTGCCGGTGTCTAGGCCACACCACCCTGAGCGCGCCCCAGCTCCTCTGAGCTCGTGAAGCTAAGCAGGGTCCGGCCTGGTTAGTACTTGGATGGATTCCGCCTGGGAATAGCCGGTACCGTAGGCTTTTGGCTTCCCGCTCCCTCCCTCTTTCCCCGTTTTGTCTCCGTGCTTCCCAACCGCCCCCTCCCTCCACCCTGTCCGCCCCTGCGCCCCAGCCGAAGCCCAGGACCTCCCCCTGAAGATCCGCCACTGCAGCACCGCCAGGCAGCAGCATCCCACCTTTTCCGACTCGCCGCAGCCCCACCAGGAGCCGGGCTCCAACCCAGGCGGACTGGACCGACCCCGAGGGCGCAGGCGCGGGTTCCCTGAGGTCCCGGGTGTCTTTCACGCTCCCCGGAAGCCCAGGCAATTCATTCATCCAGCGCCGCTGCGACGGTCCAAGCCGGGGGAAGGGGCGGGCAGGGGCATCGGGTCCCACAGACGCCAGCCGAGACCTCCGCTCCGGAACCCGTGGGCTGCTTTACCCGGGGGAAGGACATTGCCCTCGCCAGCCGTGAGGAAATCCGTCCCTGTGCACTTTGCCACCGACTTCGTGTAAATTCCAGTCCCGAGGACACGAGAGAGACCCAGGCCTGGCCCCGTGGACAGGCTCAGAGCCAGGGCTCTCGCCAGACGGATGGGCGCATCTACAAATCTGGGGGGCCACCGCATCGAGAAGACAGAAAGAAGCAAACAAAGGAAGGACCCTATGAAACGCACCCCCAAAGCAAACAACCAATCCAAGAAAAAACACGTCTCAGGGCTCCGTTGGTTTTCCCGCATGGGGGGCCCTGACCCCCTGTTCTAGCCCGGCCTAAGCACCCTCCACCCCACCCCGGCCTGCTCAAAGGGGGCCTGTCTACCTGAGCAGAGCCTCCCTCTCCAAGGCTCTGTCGCTCTCGCTCTGCAACTCCCTCAGCCTCTCCCTTTCTCTACTTCCCCTTCCACCTCGCGCTCTTCTGTCGCGCTCTCTCTTTCCCTCTCTCTCTCTCTCTCCTCCCCCACTCTCTGTCTCTCTCTCTCTCTCTATCGCTGTCTCTCTCTCTCCCTCTGGTTCTCTCTCTCCATTCCTCTCTCCCTTCCTCTCCTTCTGTAGCAGGAGGAGCCGCAGACAAAACCCCTCAGACACCGAGTTGTAGAAGGAAGGGCTTTATTCAGCTGGGATCATCCGCAGACTCATGTCTCCAAAAACCGAGCTCCCCGACTGAGTAATTCCTGTCCCTCTTAAGGGCTTACAACTCTAAGGGGGTGTGCGTGAGAGGGTCGTGATCCATTGAGGAAGCAGAGGGTACTGACTGGGGGCTGCATGCAGCGGTAATTAGATCAGAACAAAACAGGACAGGGATTTTCACAGTGCTTTTCGATACAATGTCTGTAATCTATAGACAACATAACCGAGTAGGTCAGGGGTATATCTTTAACTACCAGGCCCAGGGTGTGACACTGGGCTGTCTGCCTATGGATTTCATTTCTGCCTTTTAGTTTTTACTAAAAGCGGTGCGCCCATGTGTGTCTGTTTGGGAATGGGTTTGCTCGTGATTGTGGTGGGGTGTGTCTGGATGTCCGTCAGTACCTTTGTCCCGGGATCAGGCTGCCTACTCTATCGCCAGCGCATGGGTGTCACAGTTGCTGTGTTAGTCTCAGTACGCAGAAATTGGGCATAAGACAATATGAGGGGTGGTCTCCTCCCTTACTTCAAGCTATCTTTGTCTGTGTCTGTGTCTTTGTGTGTCCGTGTGTGTGTGCCCGTGTGTGTCTCCGTGTGTGTCCGTGTGTGTGTGACCGCGCGCGTGCTCCCGTGTGTATCTGTGTGCGTGTCGGGGTGGGTTTGCTCGTGGTGGTGGGGTGTGTCTGGGTGGCCCATCAGCCCCTCTCCCCCGGGATCAGGCTGCGGGGGCTCTAGTGCCAGCGCGGGGCAAAGCAGGGCCTTGGCCAACGGGGCGAGTCCTCGTTGGGACAAGCGACAATGGTGTGGGCGTTGTGAGAAAAAGGGCCCTCAGGGCTGGGCCGGCTGTTTGCCCCTGGACAGCCCTGACGGCTCTGGGTGTGTGGGGCAAGAGGGGGCCTTGCAGGAGGGGCGGCGAGGGATCCAAAACAATTTTTCTGCGGCAAGACGAAGGACCGGAGGGGATCCCAGGACAGTTGGCCCTGGGCCCTGACGCCTCGGAGCACACCCCGTCCTGAGCCGGCCAGATGTGTTGGAAGCTTGGGAGCTCCCAAGCCGGGGAAGGCCTGGAGCGTCTGCGAAAAGGGAGGCCACCTGGTGTGCCTGGAGCCTGGGCAGGGGACTGAGGTCTCTGGCTCTCCCGCGCTGCAGCAGGGCGGTGCCACGGCGCGTTCTCTGGCCGCAGGCGACGGGGGTGGCTCTGGGAGGCCGGCGGAAGGCGCAGCGCGGCGGCCGGCGGTGCTGGGACCTTGATGGGGAGAGCAGCCCGGCCGCGGGGGAGCGGTTCTGGGGCCCCGGATCTGAGCCCCGCGGCCCAGGGGTGGCGGTGACGCCAGGAGTCGAGCAGCCGCCACTGCCGGCCTTTACGGCCACACCACCCTGAACGCACGGGATCTCGACTGACCTTGAAAGCTAAGCAGAGTCGGGCCTGGTTAGTACTTGGGATGCGAGACCCCCTGGGAATACAGGGTGCTGAAGGCTTTTGGCTCCCCGCTCCCTCCCTCTTTCCCCCTTTTGTCGCCGTGCTTCCCAACGGCCCCCTGACTCTACTCCCACTTTTCCGCACGCCTGCGCTCCACAACGCATGGGCTGCTTTCCACCGCGGAAGGACATTGCCTTCGTCAGCCACCAAGAAAACCGTCCCTGTGCACTTGGATTTTCATTGCCACCGACTTCGTGTAAAATGCAGTCTCGGGGACACGAGAGAGACCCAGGTCTTGTGCCCTGTAAGCACGCTCGGCGTTATGGCTCCGGTCAGATGGACAGGCGCACTCTACAAATCTCGGAGCCTACTGCATCAAGAAGACAGAAAGGAGCAAACAAAGGAAGGACCCTACCAAACGCACCCCTGAAGTAACTAACCAATCCAAGAGTGAACACGTCTCAGGGCTCAGTTAGTCCTCTCCCTTGGACGGCCCTGCCCCCCTGTTCTGGCCCAGCCCAAGCACCCTCCACCCCACCCCGGCCTGCTCAAAGGGGCCCTGTCTGCCAGAGCAGAGCCTCCTCCAAGGCTCTATGGCTCTCGCTCTCCAGCTCCCTCATCCTCTCTTTTTCTCTTCTTCCCCTCCACCTCTCGCTCTTCTGTCACCTTCTCTCCGTCTCTCCCCACCCTCTCTGTCTCTATCTCTGTCTCTGTCTCACCCTTTGTTTCTATCTCTCCATCCCTCTCTCCCTTGCTGTCCTTCAAGCCGTCTGTGTCTTTGTGTGTGTGTCCGTGCGTGTCCGTGTGCGTGTGCGCGCGCCCGTGTGTATCTGTGTGTGTGTGGGGGGGTGGGTTTGCTCGTGGTGGTGGTGGGGTGTGTCTGGGTGTCCGTCAGCCCCTCTTTCCCGGGATCAGGCTGCCGGGGCTCTAGTGCCAGCGCCGGACAAAGCAGGGCCTTCCTGCCCCCTTGGCCACGGGCCGGTCTTCCTCGGGACAAGCGACAATGGTGTGGGCGTTGTGAGAAAAAGGGCCCGCGGGGCTGGGCCGGCTGTTCGCCCCCGGGCAGCCCTGGCTTCTCTGGGAGTGTGGGGCAAGAGGGGGCCTTGCAGGAGGGGCGGCGAGGAATCCAAAATAATTTTTCCGCGGCAAGGCGGAGGACCAGAGGGGATCCCAGGACCGTGGGCCCTGGGCCCTGACACCTGGGATCACACCCCGTCCTGAGCAGGCCCCAAGTGTTGGAAGCTCCGGAGCTGGAGAGCCAGGGGAAGGCCTGGAGTGTCAGCTAAAGGGAGGCCGCCTGGAGAGTCCAGAGCCCTGGCAGGGAATGGAGGCCTCGGGCGCCTCAGCGGTCCTGCGCGTGGTCTGGCCGCCGGCGATAGCGGGACGCTCTGCGAGGCCGGCGGAAAACGCAGCGCGGCGACTGGTGCTTGGGCGTATAGAGGGGGAGAGCAGCCCGGCCGCGGGCGAGCGGCTCCGGGGGTGCCTGATCCCAGCCTCGCGGCCCCGGGTTGGTGGTGACGCCTGGAATCAGACGCGCGTAGCTGGACCGGGCTCTTGGACCAGCCAGGGGCCACCGCCATTGTCTACGGCCATACCATTCTAAACACGAGAGAAACCCAAGCCGGGGCCCGTGGGCACGCTCGGGGCCACTGCTCCCGCCACAGGGACGGGCGCACTCGACAACTTTCAGGACCCACAGCACCAAGAGGACAGGGAGGAGCCAGCAAAGGAATGACGCTACGAAACGCACCCCCAAAGCCACCAACCAATCCAAGTGAAAACACGTCTCAGGGCTCCCTTGGTTTTCCCTCGTGGGCGGCCCTGCCCCCCTGTTCTAGCCCGGCCCAGGCACGCTCCACCCTACCCTGGCCAAAGGGGCCCCTGTCTACCAGAGCAGAGCCTCCTTCTCCAAGGCTCTGTTGCTCTCCTTCTCTAGCTCCCTCGCCCGCTCCCTTTCTCTACTTCCCTCTCCACCTTGCCCGCTCTCCTCCCTCTCTCTCTCTCTCTCTCTCTCTCTCTCTCGCTGTTTCTCTCTCTCCTTCCGTTTCTATCTTTCCATCCCTCTGTCCTTTGCTTTTCTTCAAGCTGTCTGTGTCTTTGTGTGTCTGTGTGTGTGCTTGTGTTCCCGCGCGTGCGCCCGTGTGTGTCTGTGTGTTTGGGAGTGGGTTTGCTAGTGATTGTGGTGGGGTGTGTCTGGATGTCCGTCAGTACCTTTGTCCTGGGATCAGGCTGCCAACTCTATTGCCAGCGCGTGGGTGTCACAGTTGCCCTGATAGTCTCACACACGCAGGTGTGTGGATCTCGTTCATTTTCATGTAGACAACGAGATCGAAACCACAGAGAAAAGAAACGTCCCGTGCATCACGGCCTGACGATGGATTCCTGTTTCCTGCAAAATGGGGGGTCTGCAATATAGCCTGTTTGAAACTGGAAAGGAGAGCACCGACACGATGCTGGTGTTCCACGCATTCCTGGAAGTTTCTGGGTCCCCACAGAGCTCGGGAAACAAACAGTCAACATGGTCACACTTTCGGGGGGCGGGGGCAGAGACTTGAGCAACAGGCACCTCTGCAGAGGGCAAAGAAACGTGGAATCCAGAATCACGCTTTAGTTGGCCTGAGCGTGATTCCTGTGTGGATGGGACTATCCGCCTCGCGCTCTGTTGCAGGGCTCAACGTGGGGATATGTCATCTGTGAACCATGTGGATGAAAAACGGACAACCACCTGAGTCTCAGCTCATTGCTCTCTGGGGAATTCGCTCATTCCTTCGGAAACGGAATTCGTCTGAATCGCTCCGGGATGAAGTAACTCAGGCTGGCGATCCGGAGGGCCCAGCACTTAGCCCGCGCTGGGCACCCAGCATTTTCCCGGAGTGCTGGGTCCTGTTGGTTCTGGAGGCAGAAGACTGTTTTTCTGTCTGCCTTCCTTTATCTGTTTCTTGCTCCTTTTGTCCCTCGGTCCATCCTTCCGTCTGCTCTTCCCTTCCTCCCCTGGTTTTTTCCTCCCTTTCTCCCTCCCTCCCTCTTTCTCTCCTTTCCAGGGTCCCTCCGTCCATCCATCCTTTCCTAGCTCCATCCTTCCCTCCCACTCTGTCTCCGTTCCCGTCCTCATCTCTGCCTGCCTTGCCTCTTGCCTGGAAAGGGCAGCACCCTGGTTTGCACGGGGTCTCGGGTCTACATTTAGTTGCAAGGCGCTCCATGGTGCTGGCGAGGAGGCTGGCGGGACGGGGGTTGGCAAGTGTTGGTGAGCGAAGAGGCAGAGGAGTCGAGCCACGGAAAGGAGAACTGGCCTGGCTTCTGCCCCGGCCCAGCGCTTCGCGGACTGAGGTCTCCGCCAACTCGACTGAAGAACGCTGGGGAAAAAGGAATGAGAGCTCCGCCTGGGCTGGTTGGAAAACCTAGGCTGCTGCCTGCAAACCTGCGCATGCGCAGTAGACAGTCCACCTCCCGGTACCTGGGCGGGCCCTGGGATCCCCGGGATGCTCAGGAAAGAATGACAGCCCTCCTCTGTGTGGAGTCTCTCACCGGACCTGGAACTCAGGGATCCTAGACAGGTCAGCTGGAAGGGAAGGCACGCCTCTCCATACCGAGTCAGAGGTTCACCGCGAAAGAGAGGGCGCCGTCCTGCCCCCACCCCGCCCCAACCCCGCTCCAACCTGCTCCTCCAGCAGAGCCCGGTGTTCTTCCTGGCTGAGGAGTGGTTCCAGCAGAGCGGGCTCTTCCACGTCCTTCAGCTCCCCCAGTGGCGCCGGATCTAGGAAAGGTCGTGCCTTTTGCTGAAACTCTGGTGTCTACAGGAGCTCATATAACAGGCTGGAGGTGACTGTAGACGAGCGCCCCGGCTCCTGGAGCGGTTGGGAGGCGCCTGGATGGCTGGCATCTGTGCTTGCCGCGGAGGCGTCCGGGGGCGCGGGCTGGGGAGGTGGAGCTGCCCCGGCTTGGGGTTCCCACGCCGCCCCGGCGACCTGGGGACCCCGGCCCCAGCCCCACCACGGACTCCCCTGGGACGTGGGTGGCGCAAGCACCCCTTGGCCCTGCGGCCCCGCTTGAGCGGGCCCAGGCTGTGCCACCGCGCAGGGGCCCGGCAGGCCGTCGCGCTGCGGGTCCCGGTCCTCCCGGCTTTTGCCCGGGTGCGGAGGCCACCGAGGAGCCTGAGGGTGGGAGAGCGCCCCGTCCGGAGGAGCCGGGGCGGCGTAGGCGAAATCCCCGCGCGCCGGGGCAGGTTGGGAGATCCCCTCTGCCGGCGCGGCCTGGCTGGGCTGCAGCGCGGGGGCGGCCCTCGCTGCCTGGCTCACGAAAGCCCCCTGTGGGAGAGCACCAGGCGCGCAGGGCACGTGGGGTGCGGGAAGCCCCGTTCCCCACGCGCCGGTGTGGGCGAAGGCGACCCACGAGGGAGCAGGGTGACCCCCGCCGGGGGCCGCGCTGCACAGGCCGCCTGCCTGCGCGGGCGCCCTGCCACCCTGTCCCGGGTGCCTGGCCCTTCGATTCTGAAACCAGATCTGAATCCTGGACTCCGGGAGGCCCGTCTCTCTGGCCAGCTCCTCCCGGGCGGCGATGCCTGGAAAGCGATCCTTCTCAAAGGCTCGGAGGAGCAGGGCGGTCTGGGATCCGGTGACGGCGGTCCGCTTTCGCCGGCCTTCTGGCGGGCCGCGTCTCCCGGGCCAGGGCCGAGATTCCCGCCGGTGCTGCCTCAGCTGGCGTGACCTCTCATTCTGAAACCAAATCTGGACCCTGGGCTCCGGAATGCCGATGGCCTGGGCCAGCCGTTCTCTGGTGGCGATGCCCGGGTACGGGTTCCGCTCAAAGCAGGCTCGCAGGGCCTCGCTTTGGCTCGGGGTCCAAACGAGTCTCCGTCGCCGTCCTCGTCCCCGGGCTTCCGCGGGGAGGGTGCTGTCCGAAGGTGTCGGGAGGGCCATCGCGGTGAGCCCCGGCCGGAATTTCACGGACGGACGCGGGCAGAGAGAGGCCGGCGGGCTCCCGTGCACCTCAGCCGGCCTGTGCACTGCGGCAGGTGCAGCCAGGAGGCCCTTAGAAAGACCTACCACCTCCACCGCGTTATGAACATGCATGAGCTCGGGGCCCAAGGTCCCGGGGTAGCCCGCCCTCCGAAGCCGAAAACCACAGGGACCAGGGCCTTGTGGGGTGGGTGGGTGCAGGGCCGGATTGGAGGGGAAAGAGGGGCTTCCGGGGCTGGCTCTCTGAGGTTCTCCAGTAATTCTATGGAAACTGGAAGCCGCTGTCTTGACTCAGTTTTCAGGCAGAAACCACCCCGAAGGGTGGAGTGTGGAACTGAACTTCCGTGACGGTCTTGAGTTTTCCAGGCCCTCTGTGGGTGTCGCCGTTGCCGTGATAGTTCACACACGCAGGGGTGTGGATCTCGTTCGTTTTCATGTAGAAAACGAGAGCGAAACTGCAGAGAAAAGAAACGTCGGGTGCATCACGGCCTGACCACGGATTCCTGTTTCCTGCAACAAGGGGAGTCTCCACTGTGGCCGGTCTGGAAACCGGAAAGGAGAGCGAAGTCACGATGCTGCTTTTCCACGCTTCGCTGGAGGTTTCTGTGTCCCCGCAGAGCTCGGGAAACAGCCAACGTGGTCGCGCTTTCGGGGGCGGGAGACACGCGAGCAACAGGTCCCCTTGCAGAGGGCGAAGGAGCGTGGAACCCGGAATCACGGTTCACTCGGCCTGAGTGTGACTCCCGTGTGGACGGGCCTGTCCGCCTCGCGCTCTGTTGCTCAACGCGGGGCCGTGTCGTCTGTGAACCACGTGGATGGAAAACGGACAATCACCCGCGTCTCGGCTCATTGCTCTCATTCCTTGGGAGGCGGAATTCGTCCGAATTGCTCCGGGATGAAGTGACCCGGGCCGGCGATCCGGAGGGCTGGTGAGCTGGTGGGCGCCCCGCAAGCAGACGCGGCTGTGGGCCGAGCTCTCGGCCTGCACCGGGCACCCCACGTTTTCCCGGAGTGCGAGGTCCCGCTGGCCCTGGAGGCGGAAGACCGCTTTCCTCTCTGCTTTCCTCTCTGTCTCTTGCTCCCTTTCTCCCTCTGTCCTTCCCTCCCTCCCTCCTCCCTCCCTCCCTCCTCCCTCCCCGCTCCCCACTTTCTCCTTTCCAATGTCCCTCTATCCATCCGTCCTTTTCTCGCTCCATTCCTCCCTTTCTCTCTGTCTCTGTTCCTCTCCCCATCTCTATTTTTCAACATTATATGATCCCATTGTGTGTATCTGTGTGTTAACATTTTTTAGCAATAAAATTCATTTTCATTATGTACATTGTTATTTAGACACATTATTTATGTATGTGCATTTGTTTAATAGACATAATTTATTTCAGCGTTATTCTACAGCAGAGTGTAAGCATAACTCATAAGCAGTGTCAACCCAAAAATTGTGTGACTCGCGTTACTGTGATTCTTTTATACTGCAGTGCTCGAGAATAAAATCTCTGTATCTCCAATTCATATCTGTGTATTACCATTGAATTGGCCCCATTTCCTGTAGTGATAGAACACTATTCCCGCACTATGACAAGAGCTGTGGGCTGTGGGGAGGTCAGGGATAGGATGACACGGAAGTGACGATAAGACATTCTCTTTTTCACATTTTTATTAAATACAAATTCCATATGAAAGAAATTTAAAATTCCAAACAACATTGTTTATTTCATTACATAAAATGAAAATTATAAAGCAACCAAACAATTAATACACTTAGATAATGAAATAGTGTATGATCTCAGTACAAAATACAAGTAGAATATACGTCAAATATAACAAAATACACTGTATTGTAGTACGTGATGAAATCTCCATATCCTGCAATATAGTACAATCAATTGAAATGTATAAAATATAATAAAATATAAATTTAGGATGTTTAAAATGAAATGAAACATGAGGCAGGTCAATAAATAAGTACAATCATTTACCATTTACTATATCTTGACTTAAATTTTATGTAGAAATATTAAAAGTAAACAGCTTGCATAGTAATTTTACTATAATTATATCAAACTAAAAATATATAGACATTTTCCCACAGGGAGTGCTATTAATGGTTTGTGGATATTAGTACTCCATGGGTTCAGGCTGGAAGAGTGAGAGCCTACAACCTTTTCTGGATTAAAAGAGAAGCAATTTCTTGGTAAGGCGGCTCATGCCTGTAATCCCAGCACGTTGGGAGGCGGAGGCTGGCAGATCACCTGAGTTCGAGGCCAACCTGGCCAAAGTGACAAAACTCTGTCTCTACTAACAATACAGGAAAAAAAAAATTAGCCAGGCATAGCAGTACATGCCTGTAGTCCCAGCTGCTTGGGAGGCTGAGGCATGAGAATTGTTTGAACCCAGGAAGCAGAGGTTGCAGTGAGCTAAGATTGTGCCACTGCACTCCAGCCTGGGTAACATAGCAAGACTGTCTCAAAAAAAAAAAAACAAAAAAGGAGCACATAATTTTATATTTACTTTTCTACAATCTAAAATATGCAAATTCACGATTACATTCTAATGTTTTTCTGATTATATAGAAATGCATGACTGTCATCAGACATCCAAAAGGCATCAAATGTCTAACATGAAATATAAAATTTGTCTATAGTCTTAGCGGTCTGCAAAATTCAGGGCTCTCACCATTCTGAGTATACCGCTCAAGTTTCTTTCCTATGACTTCTTCAGGTTCTGTCATTTATTAACACAGTGTGTCTAAAATTGTCACTGCTGGTCATCTGGAAGAATCTGAGAAGAAGCAGATCCTTGTTCTCATTCCCAGAGCTGCATCTCTGCTGAATAGGGTCAGGGTGCTCACAGCTTAGCCTCATCTGATCCACTGACAGTCTCAGTTATCTCCTGCCCAGGGAAGGGATGGGCTTCTCTATCCAGGGCTGATTCCCCAGGACCTGGCAGTGTGGCTGGGACAAGCCAGCTCTCAGCAGGGAAGACATAAGCTGCCTGGGTGGCCATGGAATACAAGGTCTGCACCTGGGCACACAGAGGCCCCCGGAGCCGAGTGAGCAGTGTCAGCTGCTCACAGGTAAGTGGAGAATGGATCTGCTGTGCCCACACCTGGGCTAGGTCTTGATAAACAGCCTCTGACATAGCTCGCACAGAAGTCACCAAGCTTTTTCGAATTGACGGTGTTTGGACTCCTAGGGCCCGAGACCTATGCCGCTTGCTGTGCCCAGTGCAAGCCCTGGAATGTCCCCTATGGTGGGCATCACAGGTCTCCTGGATTTCACTGTTGTGCACAGCAGTGGAGGATCTTGATTTTTTATTCAATGACAAGCTGCACTCCTTTTCTGGACAGTTCCCTGCAAAGAAAGCATGTGAGAGACTCACCAGAGCAGTCCCCACAGACCCTGATTTCCAGAACCCCCTGTACACCCAGGTGAACCCCACTTGTCTCTCCCACTCCTTCCTGACCATCTCAGCACTGGAATGAAGTGAGGCTGAACCCCCTGTGAGTCCCCAAATATTCTCAGAGTGCTAAGATCTCAAAAATTTACTCGTCAATAAGTAACTCCCTTTCCGCTCAAGCCTCGTATAAAAGTTTCCTGATTATTTGCCTTTTGGGGCAAACCAAAAACAAAAAAACCACCACCAACAACAACAAACACCAAGATTCTACCTGCTGTGTCTTGGCAGCTGTCCTTGGAACTCATTTTTCTTTTCCTGCAGTTTTCCCGATATGAGCTGGACTCTGGTTCTGTGAACACAATGAGAGTTTGAGAAAGTGCCTCCAACTGAACACCCTGAAATTCCTAGTCCATCCTGGACACACAGGAGCTGAGGTTACCACCAAACCCCAGCTCTCTTCTGTTCTCCAGTGTCCAGGATCTGTACGGCCCTGGCTGCCAAGGAGCTCCCAGTTTCCTTGCCAGGGGAGCCTGTGTTGCTTCCCTGTCCCTTCTCACCTTGAAAGAGTCAAATCTTACCTGATCCAGCAGTGCTGTTCCCGGCCTTGAGCTTGGTTTCCTCAGAATTCTCCTTGTTTGGATTGGGCTCCGATCCTGCTGCAAGAGAAGGTTTAGGTGACTCACCTCTCCCTAGGCAGAGTCCCACAGTCTATCTCTGATGCATTTTTGCGGATCAGTCTTTCATGTGAAGCTCTTCTGCCAGTGTCACGAGTGAACACATTTCTCAAGTCCCCTGAGGGCACTAAGCCATTTCCCATCCCCAAATCTCAAAATAAAACCCTGCTAAAGACACAGCTCAGTATCCCTGATTCCAACCCTCCTTCCAGACTCCACAGGAGCAGCCCAAGGCCTTACCTTGCCTTTGTATGTGCTTCTCACTGGAATGGGAGAAGGCGGTCTTGCCTTTTTCTTTGAATGGTTTCTTCTCATCTGAGCCCTTTTCTGTAAAGGAGATCTGTTGGAAAGGGGGCTGGTCAGTGGAGCACTGGATGGAGGAGCAGTGGAGATCGGAGTCTTCATTTCCCTTTCCCATGTTGAAGCTCAAGTGAAAGGTGCGCTCTCTCTCACGTCCAAAGGCAGAGTGTGGGTTAGTCTGCTAGACCTGCCTTTTATACGTCCCTCGGCTGGGCGTGGCTTACTCTTATTGGCTGAAGAGTTTTCTCATTCCTGCCGCTTCTTAGAGCCTCAATCAGAAGTTTCTTGCTGTAGTTCTACTGGGGACCTAGACACAGTTAAAGGGAGACATTTTCAGGATCCTGTCATGGTGTCCAGAAAACAAAGAACCGGGAGCACAGGGACCGGAAAATCGGGGAAGCATTTCTTCCTATTTCTGTCCCAGTTCCTACCTGGAAGGATTTATGATCCTGTTCACCTTTCAAGATGCACAATTAAACATGCCTATATTGTCATATGTTATATATTTTGCACAGAAAGAGAATTTATTATACATAGTGTTAACATTGTATGCATAGATATTATAATTTCTTAAATGCTTGGAAACAACAAATGTCAAATTATGGTTGATTGTATTAGGTCCACACATATATGATGAAATAAAAATGCAGAGAAAAAATAAATACCAAATGAAATGGCCCTTCCTACCTTAAAAATGGGGAAGATAATTAGATCAAATGCAATAAAATTGAATTGATTAGGTTGAGTCAGTGCTAACCTAATTAGCCCCCGATTCCTGAGGTAGCAAAAAGTCTCGGTGGAAAAACTTTCCCCCATTCTCACCCTTCCTCAGTCATCCTGGGAGCGCCATTGTGTTCTGTGGGCTTTATTCAGCCCTCCCTAGTGAAAATGGACTTGGTCTCAAACAGGTAACCCAACTGATCACAAGACAAACAGCCTAGATTCTGAACATCAGCTCCTGTCTTCACACTGCGGACACCACCTGAATCCCGTCAAAGCCCACATTGATTCTCAACATCCACCAGCAAGACGTATTCCAGGGCAGCCTCTCAAAACTGCCTCAGTGAGACAGGACAAGGTGTGGTGGAGCTCCAGGTTCAGAACAGCTGCCTCATCCCTTCCTACTGCGGCGGAGTCTGTCTCTGCTGGTCAGAGCCCTCCAACTAGCCTAGTCTATGTCCAAGCAAGTGTCCCCTAAAAGGACCTTCTTGTCTCCCCCTCTGCTGAGGAAAGCATGCAGGAACGAGACCTTCTATGTTAAGGAGTACTCAGCCTCCAGTCCCAAATGACTTGATTGACTGATGAACTGATTCCTTGAGGAGGAGAAAGTCACAGGGAAGAGACTGTGTTGGGTGAGTCTGTGTTTTCCCAGCTGTGCTGCCTGTGCAAATAGTGGAACGAAAAAAGAATTAGTGGTAGACAGACACTGCCTAGTGAAATTGTCTGAAAGTAAATGGAACTTATCATAATATGATATCGTTATATATTATAATATTATGATATGAAATTTGACATCTAAATAAATTTTGATATATTATGAAATAATATATAAAATTTGGTCAGGTAATTTCATAAATTTTGTAACAACATTAACCTATAAACTCAATAGAAAGCTAGGAAAATTGTCTGCTCTTGTGTAAATGACTGCGTTTTGGATAACTCTGTAAAAGCTGTGAAGAGGGGTCTGCTACTTACGTGATAGTAAGTACTTGATAAGACATCGACTTGCACATCTTTGCTGTTTTTAACCAATGCTCTCTCAAGATATGAGAATATTTTACTCTAAGAAAGTATTTTCCTAGATATCGTAATAGGAATTTTGTTAATTTTAGTTAATAAATTATTATAACATTTAGTGATTATTAATAATTTATGTCATTGTTAAAATATATTCCTACAGAGAACATATTACCCATGTGTTTTTATTTGTCCTTTAATCTCAGGTAAATTTTTTAAATTTTTATTTATTAAATTCTATTTATTTTAGACAAAAGAGACCTTGTAACTGCCATATGATGTACTTTCTTAGAAAGAGAAATTCTCAGGCAAAACTTAGGACTGGCTGGGCATGGTGGCTTATGCCTGTAATCCCAGCACTTTGCGAGGCCAAGGCGGGTGGATCACCTTAGGTCAGGAGTTCAAGGCTAGCCTAGCCAACATAAGGAAGCCCCATCTGCACTAAAAATACAAAAAAAAAAATTAGCTGAATGTGGTGGCTCATGCCTGTAGTCCCAGCTAGTTGGGAGGCAGGAGGATTGCTTGAACCCGGGAGGCAGAAGTTTTGGTGAGCCGAGATCAATCCACTGCACTCCAGCTGGGCGACAGAGCAAAACTCCATCTCAAAAAAAGAAAAAACTCAGCCTTATTTTTATCAAAATCTAGATTTTAAATGACATTTCTAGGTGTCCCCTTTCAATAAAAATCCAAACCAAAACAAACAAAAAGCTTCTAGGTAATTCATATGAATATTAATAACTGTTAAATTGGGTACTTTTATTTTTAAGAGAGGGATTGTTTATATGGATGTGTTGATGTATCAAACATGTACAGTTAAAATTGTACCTTTTTTTGACAGAGCCTCACTCTGTCCCTCTGGAAGGAGTGCAGTGATGCAATCACAGCTCACTGCAGCCTTGACCTCCCAGACTCCAGTGATCCTCCCAAGTCAGCCTCTCAAATAGCTGTGACTAGAAGTGTGCACCACTATGCCCAACTAACTTTTAAAAAATTGTTGTAGAGATGAGGTCTCACTCTCTTGCCCCAGTGAGGCCTTGTTATGTTGCCTAGGCTGGTCTCAAACTCCTGAGCTCTGGCTTCCAAAGTGATGAGGTTACGAATGTGAGCCACCATGCCCAGCCAAGATTAGACCTTTCAATGAGTGCACATCTTACCTCAAAAAAAAAAAAAAGAAAAGAAACTTATTAAAAGATAAAGTCTGAGTTAAAAGTGGGTTCACACTAATGATTTTTAATTTGGTACTTCTATTGTTAAAAGAGGGATTGCTTATATGGGTGTGTTTATGTGTAAAAAGCTAGTTAAGGTCGAACCTTTATTTATTTTTTTTTTGAGACAGAGTCTCACTCTGTCACCCAGGCTGATGTGCAGTGGCACAATCACAACTCACTGTAGCCTCAAACTCGTAGAATCAAGGGATCCTGCTATGTCAACATACCAAGTAGCTGGAACTACAGGCATGCACCACCGCGCCTGATTAATTAAAAAAAAAATTTAATAAAGATGTGGTCTCACTATGCTGCCCAGGCTGCTCTCAAACTCCTGACCTCAAATGATCCTCCTGCCTTGTCATTCCAAAGTGATGGGATTACACAGGCTTAAGCCATTGTGCTCAGCCAAGATTTTACCTTCAATGAGCACACATTTTATACCACAAAAAATAATAATAAATAACAAAGTCTGTGTGAGAAATGAGTTGAAGTATAGATAACACAAAATTGGCATGTTATTAGTTGTTGTTGAGCCTGGGTAACAGGCCTATTGTACTGTTTCTTTTATTTTGTGTATGTTTTAAATTTTCTGTAATAAAACATGTATAATAATACAAAGTTGATCTACACTGTTAGCTCTTAAGATCTTAGTGACTTTGGGGGAGCAAAAGAGAGAAAGTGGTTACCAGGACATCTGTGAAGCTGGTTCTATTTCTAGGTTACACACGTGTGTTCACTTTGTAATAATTCATTGAACTTTACATGATTTCTTTGTATACGTCTTTCTGCATGAATGTTATACATATATAAAAATTTAAATATTACCTATTTGCACAAAATTTTAACTTCATATCTCAGAATAATAGCACTGTTTTGTACTGTTTTAAAGTGGGACATGTTTTCTCGGGGCATCATCAGATGGATATTAATATTCCAAGGTATTTACTTATGTTGTAACACTTCGGTGACCTTCTAGGTCTTCCCATGTTTACATCAATTTAGTAAGTAAGATAGTTTTAATTTTTTAGGGTATAGGCCAAGCACGGTGGCTCATGCCTACAGTCTCAGCTCTTGGGAGGCCAAGGCAGGAGGATCATTTGAGTCCAGTATTTTGAGTTTTTTTAGGATGCAATTATTATTCAGCAAAGTCCTCTCCCCACGGTGAGGTTCAGCAATGCAAGGGCACCTAGTGCATACTATGCATTTGGTATGAGTAGAACTGGATTGAATCAGGAATAAAATACGTAGCAGAGGTCAGTTCGGCAAGGAAAAGTAGGTAATGCAGGTAAGATCAGAAGAGCACAACCCAGCAGCAAATCTTTCCATTTATTTCAGGAACCCGTTTGCCACTAGTTCACCGGAAGAGGCTGATTTAAACCATTCATTTCAGGAAACCATTTGCCACTAGTTCACCAGAAAAGGCTGATTTAAACCATTCATTTCAGGAAACCATTTGCCACTAGTTCACCCGAAGAGGCTGATTTAAAGCAGCAGTTTGGGGGCTTGGTTGTACCCCATAGTCACCCAGAGAGCTTTAAACAGCACTATGGCTCAGGTCCCACTGCAGGGATTCTGAGTTCACTTATCTATTGCCTTTTGAGTTTAGGTAATTTTAAAAGCCTCCCTGGTGATTCCTGTGTGCACCCAGGGGGAACAACCCCTGGTTCGGGATGAGAAATGCATTTGCTGTGCATGCATTCCATGTGTGCAGCGGTGATTTGCCCCATGGCCACTCCTGAGTTTGGGGTCTTAGAAAATACACTTGTCCTGTTAAAAATCAAAAAACTACTTCAAGACACACTCAGCTGTTTGACTAAAATGCAGCAGGAGAAAATATCTTCTCAAAAGATGTATCTGGATGGCACTTGCTTTCAGAGTAAAAGGTGGTTTCAAGCACAATATAGCACTTTTTTCCTACAGGCTTTCAAGGCCTTTTACTATCATATCCTTATGAATCACAGGAATAAAAAAATCATAGTTATATAACTGTCAAATATTGTATTAGGAAAAAAATTAAGGGCATGTCTTCCATGCTCATGTATCCTGATTAAAATCAGTTAAGACCCATCTGCCCGGTGTGGTGGCTCACACCTGTAATTCCAGCACTTTGAAAGGCAGAGGCTGGAGGATCACTTGAGCTCAGGAGTTCAAGACCAGCATGCTCAACATAGAAAAACCTCATCTCTGCCAAATATACAAATATTATCTGGTTGTGGTAGTGTGCACGTGTGGTCCCAGCTACTTGGGAGGCTGAGGTGGGAGAATCGCTGGAGCACAGAATGTCAAAGCTGCAGTGAACCACTGCACCCCAGCCAGAATGACAGGGAAAGAGACCCTGTCTCAGAAATAAAAATAAATAAAGAGACCCATTCTTTCAGACACCCTCATTCTTCTACATAAAACACGGTGCTTTTGACTGAAATGTTTTAAGATGAACTGAAGATTCTCCCATAATCAGGAGCAGTAGATGGAGGTTGCTCCCTTCCTGTTCTTTGAGTTGAAGCAAGGCAGAGGTCTGGAGACTCAAACTGGTAAGTACTCAAACTGGTAAATATATCAATTGCTTTCTTTTCATATGAGGTATTAAGCTATTCTTGCATTGCTATTTAAAAAACCTGAGACTGGGTAATTTATAAGAAAAGAGTTTGATTGGCTCATGGTTCTGCAGGCTGTACAGGAAGCATAGCACCAGCGTCTGCTTCTGGGAAGGCCTGGGGAAGCTTACAATCATGGTGAAAGAGAAGCAGGCATCTCACATGGTAGAAGCAGAAACAAGAAAGATGGGGGAGGGATGGGCCACACTTCTAAACAACCAGATCTCACGAGTACTCACTATCACAAGGATGGCACAGATCCATGAGGGACTCACCCAGTGATTCAACCACCTCCTCCCCAGGTCCCACCTGCCACATTGGGGATTAAAATTCAATATGAGATTTGGAGGGGACATCTAAACTATATCACATGACCATCAGAAAAACAGATGAAGAATTCATGGTTTCTACTGTCCAGTAACTTTTCATCTAGAGCAAACAGATTAATGGCTGAATTCAGCATCCTGTGGTCGGAAGGGAAACGGATTAATGGCTGAATTCAGCATCCTGTGGTCGGAAGGGAAATGGATTAATGGCTGAATTCAGCATCCTGTGGTCGGAAGGGAAATGGATTAATGGCTGAATTCAGCATCCTGTGGTCGGAAGGGAAACGGATTAATGGCTGAATTCAGCATCCTGTGGTCGGAAGGGAAACGGATTAATGGCTGAATTCAGCATCCTGTGGTCGGAAGGGAAATGGATTAATGGCTGAATTCAGCATCCTGTGGTCGGAAGGGAAATGGATTAATGGCTGAATTCAGCATCCTGTAGTCGGAAGGGAGAAGGGAGCTGCACAGGGGGCCTTGGCTGCATTTGCTCCATTTCCCTTATGCTGTTCCTTGAGTTCCGATGTCACTACCTGAAGGACTATTCATGGACAGAAGAATTATTGTTGTTGTTGTGATTATTTCTATTTCTTTTATCTTGGTAAAAATAAGTTTTTAGCTTCTCATATAATTGTCCTAAAAAACCCTAAGAGTTTTGCTTAAGTTTCTTGTTATCATGTGTTATAAAAATTGACAGGGAAGTGGCTAAAACAGATTAAAATTACACAAGCTCTAAGAGTCAAGTCTCTGTTGGGAAGGCTTAGGAAAGACAGAACTGGAAATACTCCACCAGCATGAACATCAGAAACATGGGGTCCACTTTCTGTTCCAGCCCTGCCCAGATCCACCCTCTTCTAAGGCCTCATCCAGGTCTGGCCTCACCCTAGAATCTTCTCTCACAGAACTCATTAAAGGAGACCAGAGATTCGGGCGGGGGCTCCTGCTGCCTCTCCTGAGCTGGTGCCCACAATTTCCTAAAATGGAAAAGCAGATAAGTGGAAGCAAATAATTCTATATTGGGGGGTTATACTTTCTTTTTCATTGAAGCCAGCGCTTCTAGAGACACCTCACCTAGCAACTTGTTTTCCATTCCTGCAAATTCAGTAGCTGCTCCACAAGGCACAAGAAGGTAAATATAAATATAAAACATCTCTCTGAACAGTTCATCCTTTTTTCTCTATCCCTTCAGCTGTCGATATAGCTTTTATTCTGCACATTTTATTTTCCAGGTAAATAATTTTTAAAATGGAAGAAAAAATAGAAATGCTAGGCCCTTCATTTAAGTCCTGAAAATTACAGAAAACTTAGCACCCAACTCCCCAGGGTGCTATGAGGATTAACTCACATCATGTAATGTTTCCTGAACAGTGCTCTGTAACAGACTTCTGAACACATAGTATGTGCTCAATAAACATTGTATTAACTCATGTGTACATGTTTTCCAAATGCAGACTTACTCAAACATTGATGCCTTCTCTAGGCTTTCTAAACTGCAAAGAGCCAGCAGAAAATGACATGTTTGAAAATGGCGATTGGTGGCTTCCACTTTGAGCCAAAAGTATTTGTGTTGTGGTAACAGTGTTGGGTGTCAGGAGCTCTGTGCTGTGCCTACTTTCTCTAGCTGAGTGCTACTATATTGGATGTCGTGGAAGAAACATCAGCATTAAGAGGAGACTTTTTAAAGAAGCCAATTCATGGACCCCTTCCAAACCTGCAGAATCACATTACTAAGAGAGAGCCTGGAATCGGAAATAATTCATATGCACATTGAAACTTGAGAGGCAGCCGGGTGTGGTGACTTATGCCTGTAATCCCAACACTTTGGGAGGCGGAAGTGGGCAGATAACCTGAGGTCAGGAGTTCAAGACCAGCCTGGGCAACATGGCCAAACCATGTCTCTACTAAAACATACAAAAATTAGCCAGGTGTGGTGGCTGGTGCCTGTAATCCTAGCTACTCGGGTGGCTGAGACTGCAGAATCCCTTGAACCTGGGAGGTGGAGGTTGCAGTGGGCCAAGATGGTGCCACTGCACTCCTGCCTGTACAATGAGTGAAAACTCTGTCGAAAGAAAAGAAAGAAAGACAGACAGACAGAAAGAAAGAAAGGAAGAAAGAAAGAAAGACAGACAGACTTGAGAGGCAAGGCTTAGCTAAGTGGCTCTCGGCCCATGCTTCCAGCCATAATCACATGGCCAGCTTAAAGAAATACCATCACTTGTGCCCTCCCCAGAGACTCTGTCTATTGATCTTGGTGGGAGCATCTATGTGGTTGTAATTAGAAAGTCAAATTGTCCCTCTTTGATGATAATATAATATCATATATACAAAAATTCTAAAGACCACCAAAAAACTCAGATTTGATAAATAAATTTAATAATGTTTCAGGATGCAAAAATCAACGTACAAAAGTTGATAGCATTTTTATACACTAATGATGATCAAGCTGAGAACTGAATTAAAAAGTCACTTCCTTTTACAATAGCTACAAAAAAAGGTAAAATGCTTAGAAATACAATTGGTCAAAGAGATGAACGATCCCTTCAAGGAAAACTACAAAACACTGATGAAAGAAATTGTACATGACACAAATGAGAAAAACATCCCATGCTTATGGATTGGAAGAATTATGATCAATAAAATGACTCTACTGCCCAAAACAATCTACATATTAAATGCAATTCCTACCAAAATGCCAATGGTATTTTTTATAAAATTAGAAAAAAAACCCACTAAAATTCTTATGGAACCACAAAAAGAGCCTGAATAGTCAAAGCAAATCTAAGCAAAGAGAATAAAGCTGGAGATATTACATTATCTGACTTAAAATTATGCTAGAAGGCTGTAGTAACCAAAACAGCATGGTACTGATATAAATCGACACATAGATCAATGGTACAGAATAGAGAACCTAGAAATAAAGCCACATACCTACAAATGACTGATCTTTTACAAAGTCAACAAAAACACACACTGGAGAAATGACATCCTATTCAACAAATTGTGCTGGAAAAATTATATTTCCGTATGCAGAAGAATGGAATGGGACCCCTATGTCCCACCATATACAAAAATCAACTCAATATGGATTAAAAGACTAAAATGTAAGACCTGAAACTATAAAAATGCTAGAAGAAACTCTAGGATAAACTCTTCTAGACATTGACTTGGACAAAGAATTTATGACTAAGATCTCAAAAGCAGATGTAACAATAACAAAAATAGACAACAGCAACTCAATTAAACTAAAAAGCTCCTGAAAATGAGCTTCCTAATTAACACAGTGAACAGAAAACCTATGGAATGAGATAAATGTTTACGAGTTTTGCATGTGACAAAGATCTAATGTCCAGAATATGCAAGGAACTCAAACAACTCAACAAAAATAAAACAAGTAACCTCATTAAAAAGCAAGCAAAGAACATGAACATTAAAAAAAAGAAAGACACTGATGGTCAATGGTCAACAAGCACGTAAAAGATGCTCAACCTTGTCAATGATCAGAGAAATGCCAATTAAAAACCACAATGAGATACCAACTTACACCCTGCAGAATGGCTATTACTAAAAAGCAGAAAAATGAGCTATCGGCAAGGATACAGGGAAAAGAGAACACTTATACATTGTTTGTGGGAAAGTAACTTTCTACAACCTCTGGAAAACAGTATGGAGATTTCAAAATAGACTAAAAATAGAACTTCCATTTGATTCAGCACTCCCACTACTTGGTATCTACCCAAAGGAAAACAATTTGTTACATAAAGAAAATACCCATGCTGACATGTTTATCACAGCACTATTCATAATAGCCGATATATGAAATCAATTTAAATTTATCAATCAATAATCGAATAAAGAAAATGTGCTATACAAGTATACCATGGAATGCTACTCAGCCATGAAGAATAAAATCATGTCTTTTGCAACAACATGAATAAAACCGGAGGCCATTACTGTAAGTGAAAAAACTCAGAAACAGAAAATCAAATTCAGTATTTTCTCAGTTGTAAGTGGGAACTCAATTAAGCATACACTTGGATATAGAGACTGGAAAAATAGACACTGGAGACTCAGAAAGATGGGAGGTTGGAGAGGGTTTAGGAATGAGAAAATAACTAATTGGGACAATAAACAACATTCAGATGATTGTCACACCAAAAGCCCATACTTCATCACT
Organism: Homo sapiens; assembly: GCF_000001405.40. Classification (NCBI taxonomy): domain Eukaryota; kingdom Metazoa; phylum Chordata; class Mammalia; order Primates; family Hominidae; genus Homo; species Homo sapiens. The sequence goes on from NW_015495301.1 coordinate 129,712, forward strand.
ATGCAACATGCTTCTGTAAGGGAGCGGCATTTGTACTCTCTCACGTATTAATAAAGAGATAAAAAAAAAGGCCTGGTGAGGTGGCTCAAGCCTATAATCCCAGCACTTTGGGAGGCTGAGGAGGGCGGATCACGTGGTCAGGAGTTCAAGACCAGCCTGGCCAATATAGTGAAACCCCATCTCTACTAAAAATACAAAAATTAGCCAGGCGTGGTGGCACATGCCTGTAGTCCTAGCTACTTGGGAGGCTGAGGCAGGAGAATCACTTGAACCCGGGAAGCGGAGGTTGTGGTGAGCCGAGATTGTGTCACTGCACTCCAGCCTGGGGAACAGAGGGAGACTCCGTCTCAAAAAAAAAAAAAGAGAGAAAAAAAAAAACTTTGGCTTTTATCAAGAGGACAAACTGAATAGACCTCATAATTTTCATAAATAATTAGATTAGGCAAAAAATTTTAATAAAAATAAATAGAAAATAATATTGTATTTTAAGAATGGTATAGAAAGATAATTTGATGAATTAGAGTAGTTAGTACTTAGCACATACAATATGTTAGGCAAGATTCTAAGCCACTTAGACCTTTATGGACAGAATACATAACAGAGTAAAATAAATAACACAAAGATTCTTTGGCAATGAAAAATTGACATATTTTCAATCATATTAGATGATATTAAAACCATTAACAAATTTACTGTTTTGTTTCATAATAAAAAAGAATGTTAAATAACTTCATTAAAAAGTTGGCTAATTAGGCATATAGATAAATGGGCAGCATTTTGACCAGTACACAGGGGATACACATTTTCAAAGACCAGACAAAATTATTTATTTATTTTTTGGGGGAGAGGACAGTTTTATTATCTGGGGATACAGTGGGGTCCTCTCCCTGGGAGGTGGGTCTTCCACTGGTTTTCCCCGCCAGGGCTCCAGGGGGCGCCATGCGATTCAGCGCTGGGCTCCGCTGGGGGCCGGGCCTTGGAGGAGGCGAACCGTGCAGGGAAGCGGCAGCCGTGGGGTCCTCACCGCCCGCTCCGCCGGGCTGCACCCGGCCCCCTGGTGCTCCTCAGGCTCCCGCCGAGTCTGCGTCTCTGGAGGGCAGCGAACCATCCTGCCCAGAACCTTATCCTCACAGTCCATTTTGACGCAGGTCAGGCATTTCTGCTTCCTCCTCTCGGGCTGGGCTTTGCACTTGGGTTTCTTCCAGGCCTTCCTCCAGCCGCTTCCCTGTCTGCCGGAGCTTAAATTCCAGCCTCACAGATGTTCCAGCTGGGAAGGGCGTGTCCAGGGCGCTGTCCACACTGGTCTCCCGGAAGGCCCGCTGCACGGGCGGGTGCTTGCAGATTCCTCCAGGGCCACCTGCAGGCCCCGGCGCTGGCCCCGTGAGCTCGGCCCCTCCCGCGTCCCCCGCGCCCACCCACGGGGCCAGCGAGATCCGCAGCCGTCTCAGGCTTCCCCTGTCACCCCGGCCCTGCGAAGCGGGTGTGCGCCCCTTAGTTCTCCGAGCCCGCCGGGAGCCACCTCCTCCCCTGCCCCTGGAGGGGGCCACGCCCGCAGAACGCTGGGCAGAGGCGAAGGAACCGGGAAACGTCCCTTTCTCCACACTGACCTTCGGGTCTGCTGGGTCCTCTCCACTCCCTCCCACCCTGCCCGCGCTGTTCCCTGGGGCCCGCAGTTTCAGCAAAGTTCCCTGCCGCGCCGGGAAGCCGTCCTGTTGCCCACTCTCACCCTTCCTCCTTTTCCGGCCCATTCTCTCTCCCCACTGGGTCTCCGACACGACCCTCTCTCCTCCCGGCTGTCCCCGAGCCCCTCTCTGCTTCCCCAGCTCAGCCCCCTCTCTGACGGCTTCTCCCTCCCACCCCCAGGCGAATCTCCGGGCTCCCACGGGGTGCCCCCGATCCCCGGGGTCTAGGTCAACCAGACAAAATTATTTTAAATGGGAAGATTTGAATTCCATTGAATTCATGAAAGCAGGAATCCATCTGGTCATATTTTAAATAATTTTGAAATGATAATAGCAATTATCAATTTAAAGTTTAACCAGAATTCAGAATAACCACCATTTTACCAGAAAAAAAAAAACCTGTTATAACTAACCAACTAAGTCAGTAAATTCTCAGGATACAATATTAACATATGAACATCAGTTGCATTTTTTTTACAGTAACAACAAAATATCTGAAACAGGAATAAAGATAGTTCCATTTACAATATTATCAAATAGAATGAAATACTTAGGAATGAGTTAACAAAGAATATGAAAGATCTGCATACTGAAAACTATAAAATGTTGAGGAAAGAAAATGAAGAATACAAAATGGGAAATATGTGTTCATGGATTCTAAAAATTAATATTGTTAAAATATCCATACTACACAAAGTGATCTACAGAGTTAAATTTTTATCAAAATTTTAATGCCATTTTATTAAAATGTAGAACGACAATTTTAAAATTAGTATGGAACCACAAAAGACCTCAAATAGCCAAATACTGAGAAGAACAAAAAGGCTGAAAGCCTCACACTTCCTGATTTCAAACTATATTACAAAGCTGTAGTCATTAATACAGTATAGTACCTACATAAAAACCAATAGAACAGAATAGAGGACCCAGAAATAAACTCACAAATATACATTCGACCAATCCCACAGAATGGAGAAAGGATAAACACATCAAGGAGTGGTGTAGGAAAAACTCGATATGCACAGACAAAAAGTAAACCTTTCTCTCATGTCATCACAAAATGAATTTGAAATGAAATAAAGACTTAAACATAAGAACTGAAATCATGAATCCTCTAAAAAAAAAAATGGGGAAAAGCCTCCTTGACACTGGTCATGGCAATGATGTTTCGGATTTGACACCAGGAGCGCAGTCAACAAAAGCAAAAATAAACAAGTGGAACTATGTCAAAGTAAAAATTTTCTGCACAATAAAGGAAACAATCAGCAAAATATAAAGGCATTATATGGAATGGGAGAAAATATTTGTAAACCATATGTAGGATAATATGTTACTATCCAAAATATATGTCATAGTAATCAATACAAAAAACCCACAGCAGAATTAAAAGCAATTTCTTGATTAATAATTGGGCAAAATATATAAATAGCAATTTTTCCAAAGATATACAAATGGCCAGCAGGTATATAAAAAATGCTCAACATCACTAATTATCACAGTAATTAAAATCACAATGAGGTATCACCTTATCGTGGTGTTTGGATACCTATTATCAAAAAGTCAAAAGATAAAAAGTGTTAGGGTGTGGAAAAAGAGAACACTTGTGCACTGTTGCTGAGGATGTCAATTGGTGCAGCTATTATGAAAAACAGTATGGAGGTTCCTTAAAATTGTTAAACTAGAACTACCATTAATCCCAATTAGGAGTATATAGCCAAAGGACATAAAATCAGGATCATCAAGGGTATCTGCATTCCTCTGATACAGATAAACTGAGAGACATAATTTCAGCTTTAATAAAAATGAAACTCTTTCATCCACAACAATATTGATAAATCTTGAAGACATTATGCTAAGTGAAATAAGCTGAATACAGAAAGACAACTACTGCATGATCTCGTTTGTATGTAAAATCTAAAAAAGTAAATAAAAATTTAAAAAAGCCATGGAAACAGTAGAACGCTGGTTCCCATGGGCTAGGAAGTGGGGAAAGTGGGGAGATTTCCATGGAAGGGGCGCACCTTCAGTTACAAGGTGAGTAACTGCTGGGGACCTAACGTACAGAATAGTGACTATAGTTAACAATACTGTGTACTTGAAATTTGCTGCAAGAGTAGATCTCAGGTGCTCTCACCACACACAGAGGCGTATTCACTATGTGAGGGGATAGACAGGCTAACTAGCTTAACTGAGGTGATTTAAAGACCACTGACATCTCAAAACACTCTATTGTACACCCTAAAAATACACACTTTTCAATTTGTCAATCATAGCTCAACGAATGGAGAAAAAAAATAAGAGTAACCAGCAGGTCATAGCTCGCCACACGGAAGCTCGATTTAAAACACGCTTGGCCGCTGTTCGCAGCTCAACTCGGGAACGGCCGGAGCGCTTCCGGCCCCTGGACTTCGACGCTCCTCCCGCGCCCCCGGGGCTGGGGAAGGCGCAGTCGTTCCCCGGATTCCAGGCACGCAGATCCGGCAGGGCCATCGCCGTCCCCCTGCTCTTGCCGCAGCCCCGTCAGGCTCCGCGTTTCGGGGCCTCCTGGCCGGGGAGGCTGCCTGTGGCTGCCCGCGCGCCCCCGGGGCTGTGGCTCCGCCGGCCCCCGCTCCGGCCCCGCGCAGCCCCTCCGAGAACGCAGCCGTCTGGTCCCGAACTCGCGGCCTCTGCCCGTAGCCGCCGCCAGCGCCTTCGCTGTGGCCGCTCCTCCCCCTCCCCGAGCCCGAGCTGGCCCAGCGGAGAAGGAGGGCGGAGAAGCTGGAACCCGAACGCGGAGCTGCAGGCGGCAGGTGCGGGAACGGGAGAAGCTATGGCCTCGCCCAGGACGGCTGCTCAGAGCGACACGAGCAACCGCCAGGAGCTCCGCACGCAGCTGGAAGAACTCAGTAACGTACTCCGCTGTGGGAGACATGGAGGTAATAAAAGTCTGATGTAGAAGTACTCGCAGAGAACCATGCTCCTTGGTCAATCTCAGATTATTATTATCAGACCTACCCTAATGATGTTAGTCTTCCAAATAAAGTGAGTGACTGAACTGTCAAATCAGCAAGATCAGGATATTGAAAGTCCTGCTTTGAATTCTAACGACCAGTTATAAGTAGAAAATGACACTCACCCTGGTACTGATAGGACAGCAAATGTTAAGTGTAGACAAGAGGGTCATCTGCCTCCAATTCACAGGAGCCAGCATCTGCATTAGCAGCACAAGATACGTCCTTAGAAGGTTCGTCATTAGCTGGAAGTTTGAGAGCTGCAGCAGAAGCGGCTTTGTCACAGACTGGATTTAGTGATGATGAAAATACTGGACTGTATTTTGACCACAGCACTGGTTTCTATTAAGATTCTGAGAATCAAATATATTATGATTTAATTTATTACCACTGTGATGTGGAAAGTGGTCGCTATCGATTTCATTCTCGAGTAGATTTGCAACCTTATCAGACTTATAGCACGAAACAAAAACGAAAAATTGAGAAAAGAAAGGATTCTTCTACAAAAAAACGATGAGGAAAAGGATTTGAATTCAGAGGATCAAGAAGCCTTCAGTGTTGAACATACAAGCTGCAACGGGAAAGACAATTTCACAAATGTGAAAAAAAAAAGCCAAAATAGGCATTCATCACAAAAATAATCCCCAAAATTCACTGTTCCAGTTAGTGGAAATCCTATGGAATCTCCTTTTAATGAAAACATCTCAATTCATCTTTAAGGATGAGAAAATCACAGAGACTGATAGTGAACCAGAAGAAGGTGAAATTACAGACTCTCAGACCGAGGGTAGTTATGATGAAGGCATTACCAGTAAAGGCAATGCAACTGCAAAAGATACTGAGGAGGAAGATGAGGAAAAAGTGTGGCCTCATATATGAGAGTGATTGTCATTAGATCACCTGTGCTACAGACAGGATCATTCTTCATCATTACTGCTGCAAAACCTGCTACAATTGGAAGAGAAAATGATATGGAGCATACTCTTCAAATCCCTGAAGTTGGTGTAAGTTTCATGCAGAAATCTATTTTGATCTTGACTTACAAAGTTATGTCCTTTTGGATCAGACAGTCAAAATGGAACAATTGTTAATGTAAAATGGATTGTTCAGCTGAAAACTAAATGTGACCCTTATGAACCTGAGCATGGAGATAAAGTGAAAGTTGGAGACACTGTGTTATCTTATTACATTCACCCTGGCAGTAATAGCTGTGTTGGATGTGAACCAGGGCAGGTTAGAGCTCACCTTTTCCTTGACAAGAAAGATGAATCATTTGTTGGTCCATCATTAACTAAGAAGGAAACGAGTTGGAAAGAAGAAAAGGATTTTAAAAATATACGAGTAAAATATGGTTTACAGAATACAGACTACAAAGATGATAAGATACTGGAGAATCAAAAATATAAAGATAGAGCTGGAAAACATAGGGAGCAGATTGGAAGTGAAGGAAATTTCCAAAGAGATGATGCTCCTGCATCTGTTCATTCTGAAATTACTGATAGCGACAAAGGTCAGAAGATGTTGAAAAAGATGTGTTGAAAACAGGAGAAGGCCTGGGGAAGGATGGTGGGAGAATAAAAACTCCAGTACAGCTTCAGCCTTGGCAAACACATGCAGGATTGGAGACAGACAAACCATCCTCAATTAAAGAGACTCACCTTCTCCAAAACAAGAACAACAACAACTGGGACAAAGCTCAGGAGAGGTTTGCCGAAAACTTTCCAGAAACTAAACTTCCAAAAGATGACCTAGGAACCATTCCTTGGGTAAAAGGGACTGAGGAGTGAAGGTTAATCACAGAAGAAAACTCAAGCTTTTTTATAAATAGAGTTTGGAAACTCTTATTTTATTGCAGAATGTTTCTCCCCAAAAAAGTCAGTGGCATGAGAAAGCTGTGTCACAGTTTACCCCTTCCTGATTCAGAAATGTGTAATAAAATGTGGTTTGCAGTTTTTAAAAAACACTTTTTAAATTAATTATTAGTGACTGAATTAAGTTATACAGTAAGTGAACTAAAGTTCACAGGGCACAGATAAGTTTACCAAACTTTACTATTTTATCTTGTCATTTACAACATCCATATAAGCAATTAGCCATATAAGCAAAATTCATATAACCACTTAAATGCTCATTTGTCCTTGTCTCCATATATTCATAGTAGTATGCACAGAAAATACAGCAAAAGAAACATCTAAAATCTATAAAAATAAATCTGACAATATACATTCTTTTTTATGTCCTTCAGGACCTAGATAAAAAATGTTGAGACAACATAAATAGTGATGCATACATTTTCTTATATTTGGAATAGCCTAAATCATATTAAAGAACTAATGAACAGGTGACATGTCACAGAAAATTCGTCTTTTATTGTTTTCTTAGGTGAAGAATCTGCATTTGTTGATATATACTGTACATTCAGCATTTGTATTTGGTTTGTTTCATAGCTAATGAAATGTTTATACATGAAAAAATGAGTACAGTATTGAAATAGTCCATGTGCTGGCATTCATACTTTTTATAAATACCATTGCAGGCAATGAAGTTGTGCCAGAAAAATCTGATTTTGAGTACAAAAGGAATACTTAGCCAGGGCCTTGAGCTCAATATATTTATTGAAAATGTCCTAAATTGCCATAAAACATTATAACATTAAATTACTCATTTCAATAAATTATGAATTAAGCAGAAAGTACGAATGATGTCTTTTATGGATCAGGGAAGTGCTAATGAGACAGAATGGCCATTGAAGCCAAAAGGTCTGAATTCAGGTAGATAATTTTACTCATATTAGTTTTAGGTTAGAGAAAACAATACTTCTGACCATATACTATTTATTGCAGTGGAGTATTTCAAAAATATGTACATAATATATAATTAATTTTCTAATGGTATAAAAGTAATCACACTCTACAAATTATTACAATATGGTCTATTGATGAGAGGGGTGTTTCAAATGAAAAAAACTTGGAATTTCTCATGGTGATAGATGCCATAGAAAATCTATGTAAAATATTTCACTCATATATGCAATTATTGATATTTCTGCTTTTCAGAAAAATAATATACTTTAAACACTTAATGCAGACAATTAAAATCACCAAGAAGTTACAAGAATTCACAGAATGCCTAATATAGTTGAAAGGAAATTAAGAAAACCTCCCAGGACTGGAAGTAAATAAAGGTAATGATCCAGAGAAGTAATCAACCTAAGAGACCAGGGCTCCACTCAGATGTGCCTGATTACAAGAATGTCAGGTCCGTGTGGGTTGTTCCCTTCTGACAAGGCAAATGGAATAAACAAAGAGAAACTGCCTGCAGGCATTGGAATGCGGTGTCTCCCATATGTGAGGATTAAATTATAAATTATGTCGCACACAAGGAGATGAGCTACTGGGGTGAAGCATCAGAAGAAATTATATGGCACATAAATCTCAGATATTGAATTTATATTTAAATGTTTAAGTCAATATAATGGAAAAACAAGAAACCAAAATAATGTGGAAAGAAACTACGAGCTTGTCAAGCTATCTTTGGAAAAGAGGCAAATGAAAAGAAAGTATTGAAAGGGTTGTAAAACAATTTAATGTACAACATACAAATTACATATTAAAATAGGCTGAGCCAAAAAGAGGGCTAGTAAAGTGAAATGCTGATCACAATTAATGTAGTCATATATGTTATAGAAGGCAAATTAATAGAAAATATAAATATATTTATATATGAAGATTAGATTGAGAAGAAATAAAAAGCATTTAATTGTTTTACCAGACTCTAAATAGGAAGGCAACAAAGAATCAGTGACTTGTAAGTTTCAGAAATTGGAAACCAGACATGAAACCTTTAAAAGTTTAGGGTGTAATATATGAAAAAAAGGTAAATTTAGAAATACTTAGAAGAAATAGTGGTTTGGGTTATTTTGAATACTGCTTAATAAACATGAGAGTGCAGTTATCTTTTTTGACATGCTTATTTTGTTTCCTTTTGATATAAACCCAGCAATGAGATTGCTGCATCATATGGTAGTTCTATTTATAATTTCCCCACATTTCTGTATCCCGAGATCATGGTCATTTTCTTGACTATCTATTCTGATCTATTCTGCCTCAGTTTCCCCCTAAGAGATCTTAGGGTCATAATCATATTGGAGGTTGAGGGGCTAGGTCACTTTTTCTGGAGCTGTTTCCTGCTGAGTGGGTGTTATTTCTACCTAGTCTGGGCCCTAAAGTTTCTTCCTGTGTGATCTAACTGGGTGTAAACCATGTAATTCGTGGAACCAGTGGGCAAGATGTTGGCAGCCAAATGTTGAAAGCCTTGCAAAACCATCATGCAAACATGGAGTTGCCGTAAGCAAGAGAGCAAGAAATCAGTTAACATTTTAAACAAAATTGGAACAAAAGTAAAAGCTGAAAGTATAGTAATGGCTGTTACTATTAAAGAGAGTAAGGCAGGTAATAGACATTGCTTTCATGGTCCCATGGAAGTTCATAGAGATTCAATTTTGTCTGCCTGGGTGATGATATTTTTAATATTTTCTTGGACTAAACCGGGCTGATTGATCTCAAAAACAGCATTCTTCTTTTAGATATAAACATGTTCCTCTTTGCCCGGCTGGGAGAAGATCCCAGGCTTTTTGCTTTTGTCGGACTACAGTGGCCATGGAGTCCAGACATTGTTGAAGTCTATTGAGGCCCTCTGCTGCTTGTTGCAGACCCATTGAGGTTTTCTGAGATAGTTTATACTGGATTCCCAAGGCTCCACCTTATGGTGACATTTATGCTGCAAAAGTATTTTGCATTAAAATGGTGAAAGCAACAAACGTTTTAAGTATTTTCTATTTTTTGCTAATAAGCAAAATTTTGTGCAGCTAAGTTGGCAGCAGTCATTCGGTCCATTTATGGACGGTACAGTTGAATGGTGGTCAAAGTTAGAGCCTGGAAGCCTTCAGTAAATGCGCTGAAGTTGTCTGAGGGCCATCAGAGTTGTTGCTTATATTGGATTAGATTATTTATTGAGAGTAGAACAAGCACTCTGATGGTCCTCTCTCCATTTGGGACTTTCTGTAAGGGGAGAAATTTCTCTGGCCCTGGATGGTGTGAAGTCCCACTGTGAGTAACTGCAGCTGGGCTGGTCTCTATTGTACCTGGCAAAGGCCGATAGAAAGGAGCATAAGGAGGAGGTGAAACAAGCTTAGATTCTACAGAAGACTCTGATAGTGTGGGGATGCTGGGGATTCTAAAGGAGGTGTGGACCCCTGAGTGCCCCTGTCTGGAGCTGGTGTTGGGCTGTGGGGTCTGGGGTCCCTTCCCCTTAATAAGAGATGATCTTCCAATTGTTCTGAGGGGCTTTCTGGCTTACTAGGCTTTAGCCCACAGGTGCTGCGTAGAGCTGGATTTTGTTGTCAGGCCAGAACGGCTTGCACATAGGGTACTTCAGACCATTTTCCCTGATTGCTACAGAAAAGATCTAGCTGTAGGATGGAGTTAAAGCTCACAGTCTCATTCTCCAGCCATGTTTTGTCAGCTAATCTGTAGGCAGGCTAAATAGTATTACAAAAGAAGATAAGGTTTTCTTTTTTCTAAGTTCATTTAGCCAAAAGCTGTTCTAATTTTTAGATATACATCCCAGGGGTGTTTCAGTGACAGTAGAGGAAGCGGCTCCCATGGTGCCGAGAGAATCCTGCAATGACAGAACATTTACTGAAGTCCAGGAGGCTGTGGGCGTCCTCATGAGCCAAGTGAAAACACCAAGGGGTCCAGCGCATCCCCTCGAAACCCCATTAACTGAAGCTCTAGGAGGTCATAGGCATTTGCCATACACCGTCCTAGCTCCCCCAGCGGTGGACATCTCCAGCCCTACGGAGATGACCCCCACTGCGGGCTGGGGGGCAGATGTCTGGCTGACAAGCCTTGCTCTAATTCACTGGTTTGCCATTTGTGATGCCCAGTTACAACACCTGGAATGCTCAGATGCAATCCCTACGACTTGGCATCTGCTTGACTGTGCATCTTTTGTTCAGCAAAGAAAGCCGGTTGAAGAACAATTTCAAGGAGCTGGGAAATGCATAAAGCCTGAAGGGACAGTGTTCTCTTAATGTGCTGCTCAAAACAAAACAAAAATTTTGTAAACAGAAAACCTGACCAGAAAATAAATTACAATAGCCACTAGGTGGCGATCGAGTATTGCTGAACGGACAGCAAACGACAAGCTGAGTCTAAACTGTGGCCAGAAAGATGTGAAACTGAGCGGCAAATAGCCCAAATATGAAATGTTGAGGGCAACCCATGTGGTTAGCGTATTTATCGATACTACAGAAGCCGCAGAGAAAAGGAGAGCGGACATATATTCTCTCTCTAAAGAATGCGGGTGACTTAAAAACGTTTCCCCCAGAACTTTACTGGAACAGCGCTGGAACCAGCAGCGATAGTTAACCAGGTAGTCTGAAACTGCCATAGTATTCACTGCAAGTAAAGGGAAACTGAAATTAATGAAGCAGACAAACGTCTCCGCAGGTCATGGCACCAGAAATGTTGATGGCTGATGTAATACCTTGGTTCTTATCTTCTTAGTTTAAAATAATTTAAACAAGAGACACACAGCAAAAGAAGTACAGCATAATTTATTGCAAAAAAAAGAATATTTTGAAAATTAAGTGCAGAATAGACGGTACAGTCTGAGAAAGAGATTCCAGGGCAGCCTGCTCATAAAAGTGAGACAGCATTAATTATTGCTGGAGAAACCCTCTTTATGGGAGTTTTGCATGATTATTTCATAAGAAGGTGGAAAGAAGTGTTACGGTAAGCATGTTCTGACTGGTCTTCTGGTTATACATGTGCAGTAGCTGTACATATTTGTGCATACATTGCATGCCTCACTAGCATCTTAAATCTCCACCCAGGAATGTGTTTTTTACTATTAAAATGAACAAAGGGTCAGCTTGAGGACACATAAAATCAAAATGCACATGCTCTGTAGAATTAAAAGTCCCTACTGAAGATAGCGGGTTTCAAATGACCCCAAGTGCTCCACGTCTTAAAAGTTCCTCCGGTAAAGCTGGAACACTATCTGTTCCTGAGGTATCAGGTCCCATTTGTGGCTCTGAGCCACTGGCAAGCCAGGCCTGACTTGAGATGAGACCAATGATTTCAAGTGTAAAATGCCTAAATACTCAGTAGCTTCAGGTTGCATTTTGGAGCTTGTCCACTTAAGTGGGTTGATGAAAATGGCTCACAAGACTCACGCCTCAGAAATGGGGTTTTTTCCTTTGCTCTTAGCAGATTTTATGCAACCCAATAATTAACCTTTCTGATGCCTAGACTTTCACATTCGTGAAAAAGGCGCCATTGAAAGTGACCTTTCCAAGAAGCCACAGCCCTTGTCACCCCTGCAGAGCTCTGAAGCTGCTCACAAGCAGGCCAGGTGGAAGATTTCTCTCAAAAACGGTTGAGTGCGTGCTCTGGCTAGAGAAAAAAGAGGGCTGCGGCACAATGACAGTGTCTTGGACATCAGGAAAGTTCTCACGCAGTTTAGGAAAGAAGGCAGCACCCTGGGCTGCAGAAGACGTACTCCTCTGGAAAGAACCCTGGGTGCAACTGAAAGAGGAACCTGAGAAGGATAGGGCCAAGCGGGTGAGGACAACCCGCCCGATTTGGGAAAAGGTAAGGTATCTTTGTAGGGTAATACCCTCCTCACTGCTCAGCCCAGACCTGCCCTCCAGGTGCACCTCTGTACTCACTCTCCTTGCAAAGAGTCGGCATAGCATCAGAACTCAGCAGTGCTTTGGACACCGGGAAGTCCACACCGCTCTGCCCCTCCCTCCAGGGCTATGGACCCCGGATCCCGGTACATGCTGGGATTATAGCTCTGAAGCTTACCGACAAACAGGCTGAGAGTAGGTAACGGACTACAGCTCCCAGCATATTAGGTGGGGCGGGTACCACTCTGCCCCTTCTTCCAGGGCTGCGCCTCGCCCTGGAGCCTGGTGCATGCTGGGATTGTAGTCCTGTAGCCCTTTGACCAAAGGGTTGGGAGTGTTTATGAGAATGCATCTTCCAACAATCCTAGGGAGGCGCGCACAGCCCTGCCTCTTCCTCCGGTGACGCGCACTTTCCCGGAGCCCGGTGCATGCTAGGATTGTAGTGCTGCAGCCCTGTGACCAAAGGGCTGGGAGTGTTTATGAGACTGCATCTCCCAGCAAGACCAGCGAGAGGCGCGGAGCCTCGTCCCTTCCTCCAGTGATTAGCGCACTCTCCCTGAGCCTGGTGCATGCTGGGATTGCAGTGCTGCAGCCCTGTGACCAAAGAGCTTTGTTATAGTTATCTGTGAAGTGTTCAACAAACTACTTTACTTCATTATTACTGGAAGCCAGAAGCTCAGTTGTGTTCACTTTTTGGATTTTATAACAGTGAGATTGTGTAATATGTATACTTTTACATCTACTTTCTTCTATGCAACATTATATTTATGATATTAATTCATGATATTGCAGATAGCTATAGTTTATTTTAAAATTATTTTTTACATTGTGGTAAAGTATACATAAAATTAACCATTTTAGCTATTTTAAGTGTGCAGCTCAGAAAAATTAACTACTTTCACATTGTTTTGCAACTGTCATTACCACTCATAGGGACCTTCTTTCAACTTGCAGAAACAAAACTCTATACCCATTAAATAAGCTCCTTGTTACTCCCCCTCTAGCTCCTAAGAACTACTCTTCTATTTGGGTTTCTAGAATTTAACTACTCTAAGTATCTCATAAGTGGAATGATTCAGTATTTGTCCTTTTATGACTGGCTCATGTCACTTTGCACAATGTCCTTAAGGTTCATGCATGACGTACCATGTGTCAGAATTTCCTTATTTTACATAACTGAATAACATTCCACTCTATGTATAAATCACATTTTATCTATTAATCATTGATGGTAATTCAAACAACACTTGAGTAATTCAAACACCTTTTTGGTGATGTGAGTAATGCTGCTATGAACCTAGGTGTATGTATATTATTTTGTGTCTTTGCTTTCATATCTTTTGCTGCATACCCAGATGTGAAATTGCTGGATCGTATGGTGATTTTATGTGTAAATTTTTTAGTTACTGTGTTGTTATTTTATAGCAGCTGCAGCATTTTACATTTCCACCAACAGTGTACAAGGATTCTAATTGCTCCACGTCCTCACCAACACTTCGGATTTTCTGTTTTTTTTTTTCTTTTGGTAGTAGCTATGCTGATGGGTATTAAGTGATATGTCATTTGGGGTTAGATTTGCATTTCACTAATGATGAGTTTTGTTGAGTGTCTTTTCATGTGCTTATTAGCTACTTTACATAATTTTTAGAGAAATGTCTGCTTAAGTTTTTGCCAATATTTTAAACAAGTAGTTTGTTTTATTGTTGCTGAATTGTTCTTTGCATATTCTGGATAGATTCCTATTCGTCTATTTTTCTTTTGTTTCTTGTGTTGTGGGTGTCCTGTTTAAAAAAAAAAAACTGCCAAATCCAGTGTTATGACGTGTTTCCCCTATATTTTATTCTAAGAATTTTGTAGTTTTAGCTCTTACATTTAGGTATTTGATCCAGTTAGTTAATTTTTTCTTACAGTATAAGTGAAGGGCACAGGTTCATTCTTTTACATGTGGGTACCTAATTTCCCCAGCACCAGTTGTTGTGAAGACAGTTCTTGGCTGGGCACGATGGCTCACACCTGTAATCCCAGCACTTTGGGAGGCCGAGGCGGGCGGATCACAAGGTCAGGAGATCAAGACCATCCTGGCTAGCAAGGTGTCCGCTCTGCTCCTGATCCAGCGAGGCATCCATTGCCACTCCCGATCGGGCTGAAGGCTTGCCATTGTTCCTGCACAGCTAAGCGCCTGGGTTCATCCTAATCAAGCTGAACACTAGTCACTGGGTTCCACGGTTCTCTTCCGTGACCCACAGCTTCTAATAGAGCTATAACACTCACCGCATGGCTCAAGATTCCATTCCTTGGAATCCGTGAGGCCAAGAGCCCCAGGTCAGAGAACAGGAGGCTTGCCACCATCTTGGAAGTGGCCTGCCAAAATTATGGAAGTGGCCCGCCACCATCTTGGGCGCTCTGGGAGCAAAGACCACCCCATGGTAACAGCACCTTAACTGTGTGTCCCCAAGGACCTACAGATCACAGGGCAACAGGGGCTGTGAGGGAGTTGTCTGGATTTCCCAAGGTGGAGGAGGCGAAAGAGGAGATGGATCCCAAGCTCCTGCACCAGCACCAGCGAGAGACAAAGGCCCCGCCAAACGCCGGAAGCCACGCCCTCCTCTCTTCTCAAACTGTGCGCCCGATTGGGTGGTTCCCACACCAGCGCCACTGATTGAATAAAACGCCAGGACCCACCCATCCGCACCCCACCCCGGCCCCTGCCCCACTCACCCTGAGCGTTAGTGCATTTTTGTTTGTTTCTTTGTTTTACTTTAAGTTTTGGGATACATGTGCAGAACGTGCAGGTTTGTTACAGAGGTTTACATGTGCCATGGTGGTTTTCTGCACCTGTCAACCTGCCATTTAGGTTTTAAGCCCCACGTGCATTAGATATTTGTCCTAATGCTCTCCCTCCCCTTGACCCCAACCCCCTAACAGGCCCCAGCGTGTGATGTTTCCTTCCGGTGTACATCTGTTCTCATTGTTCAACTCCCACATATGAGTGAGAACATATGGTGTTTGGTTTCCTGTTCCCTGTGTTAGTTTGCTGAGGATAATGGTTTCCAGCTTCACTCACGTCCCTGCAAAGGACATGAACTTATTCTTTTTTATGGCTGCATAGTATTCCATGGTGTATATGTGCCACATTTTCTTTTTCCAGTCTATCATTGATGGGCATTTGGGTTGGTTCCAAGTCTTTGCTATTGTAAACAGTGCTGCAATAAACGTAAATGTGCATGTGTCTTTATAGTAGAATGATTTATATTCCTTTGGATATATACCCAGTAATGGGATTGCTGGGTCAAATGGTATTTCTGCTTGTAGATCCTTGAGGAATCACCACACTGTCTTCCACAATGGTTGAACTAATTTACCCTCCCTCCAGCAGTGTAAAAACGTTTCTGTTTCTCCACAGCCTCACCAGCATCTGTTGTTTCCTGACTTTTTAATAATTGCCATTCCAACTGGTGTGAGATGGTATCTCATTGTGGTTTTGATTTGCCTTTCTCTAATAACCAGTGATGATGAGATTTTTTAAAATATTTTTTGGCCACATAAATGTCTTCTTCTTCTCCTTCTTCTCCTTCTTCTTCTTCTTCTTTGAGACGAAGTCTTGCTCTGTCACCCAGGCTGGAATGCAGTGGCAGGATCTTGGCTCACTGCAACATCTGTTTCCCGGGTTCAAGTGATTCTCCTGCTTCAGCCTCCCAAGAAGCTGGGATTACAGGCACCTGCCAATATGTCTGGCTAATTTTTTGTGTTTTCAGTAGAGACAAGATTTCAGCATGTTGGCCAGGCTGGTCTCAAACTCCTGACCTCATGATCCACCTGCCTCCACGTTCCAAAGTGCTGGGATTACAGGTGTGAGCCACCACACTCAGTCAAATATCTTCTTTTGAGAAGAGTCTGTTCATATCCTCTGCCCACTTTTTGATGGTTTTTTTTTTCTTGTGAATTCATTTGAGTTCCTTGTAGATTCCAGATGTTAGACCTTTGTCAGATGGATAGATTGCAAAAATTTTCTCATTCTGTAGGTTGCCTTTCACTCTGATGATAGCTTCTTTTGCTGTGCAGAAGCTCTTTAATTAGATCTCATTTGTCAATTTTGGCTTTTGTTGCAATTGCTTTTGGTATTTTAGTCATGAAGTCTTTGCTCATACCTATGTCCTGAATGGTATTGCCTAGGTTTTCTTCTAGGGTTTTTATGGTTTGGGGTTTTACATTTAAGACTTTAATCCATCTTGAGATAATGTTTAAGGTGTAAGGAAGGGGTGCAGTTTCTGTTTTCTGCATATGGCTAGCCAGTTTTTTCAGCACCATTTGTTAAATAGAAAATCTTTCCCCATTGCTTGTTTTTGTCAGGCTTGTCGAAGATCAGATGGTTGTAGATGTGTGGTGTTATTTCTGAGGTCTTTGTTCTGTTCCATTGGTCTATATATCTGTTTTGGTACCAGTACCGTGGTGTTTTGGTTACTGTAGCCTTGAAGTATAGTTTGAAGTCTGGTAGCATGATGCCTCCAGCTACCAGTTGTTTTTGCTTAGGATTGTCTTGGGTGGACAGGCAAACAGGCTCGAATAGTTGGGGTCACATGCGCAGAGTATCACAGCTAATTAAGAAGTGAGCTGAGACTTGAAATGCGCATGCTCTTTCCCTTACCAGGATCTGTTGAGTCATGCATCTTAGCAGCTATTTAAGGGTAGGAAGTAGAACATTTGGACATCTTTTCAACAACTTATTAGGCATTTTCATAATGCAGGAAAGACCCTCATCCCATCCCTGAGCCCCTCTCTCACCACGCTGCACCTCACTGCTGACCACATTGTGGGGTGGCCATTATCAGGCGGGCCAGAATCAGGCCAGAATAAGGCGGGCAGCGGGGGCTGGGAATAAATAAGCAAGAATGATGTTGCCCATATTTGCTCATCTTAGAAAGGCTCCACAACCATTCTGTGTGAAGTGATTATTCCAGGGTAATTGTGCCCTGACTGTGCTGCATGTCAGTCTGACTTGTCTTTCTGAAAATCACTGGATTACTCTCATTAATGGGGGTATTTCTGTTTCTATTTGAAAATGGCCAACTGTCCTCTGCAGGTGTCCTGATTTTGCCTGCTAGTTTAGACCCTGAAGGTAGCAGTGAGAAAATGTTTTGGCCACATCAGAATACCTATTCTCAGCTGGAGTAGATATAGAAATTTCTTAATAATATCTAACCGTTTTCTCAATAACCATTATATTTAACGGTGATAACTGGAGGGCAGAGAGGGACACAGATGACACAATCTTCGAAGTTTAATTTGGTTATAAGGTTTTTTGTTCTTGTTTTGTTTTGCTTTATTTTTGGATACAAGGTCTTGCTCTGGTGCCCAGGCTGGAGGGCAGTGGCACAATCATAACTCATAATTTGGTTGTAACTGTTCTTTAAAAAATATTTTTGGCTGAGTTTGGTAGCTCACACCTGTAATGTAAACAATTTGGGAGGCCAAGGTGGGATGATCGCTGGATCCTATGAGTTCAAGACCAGTTTGGGCAACATAAGTAGGCTCAGTTTCTACAAAAAATTTTTTTTAATTGGCTGGGTGTAGCATTGCATGCCTGTAGTGTAGTCCTCGCTATTTGAGAAGCTGATGTGAAAGGATCACTCGAGCCTAAGAGTTTGAGGCTGCACTGACCCATGATTCAGCCACTGCACTGACAGACAGATGTGTGTGTGTGTGTGTGTGTGTGTGTGTGTGTGTGTGTGTGTGTGTATAAACAATATGGATGTGAAAAAAATTCAAGCCCGGGAGAAAAGTGAAAGCCCATGGTGGGGGATGTGGAGAAAGGTGAGTGCGGCTCCAGCAACTCAGTGAAACTTGGTTTTCCATCTTGAAGAATTGCCCATACACACTGAAACCATAGCCTAGCACATGCCAGTTATCACACTACACCTGCTGGGATACGACTATGTACCCTTTTTAAAAAAATAAAATCTTTCACCTAAGAGAAGCAGAAGAGAAAAGGAGTGTTTCACATCTAAAGCCTTCATTTTATGAAACAACAGCCACTTGTCATTTGAGTTGTCCAAAGGCGACTGACAGCACTAATACACTTAATGAATCAACCAGGAGAAATGGGCCTCTCGGGTGAGGAGGAGGCACAATAGTAACTAAACCAATCCATTCTCAGCTTTACATGGTGCCCGTATCTCAAGAAGTGGTGTTAGCCATGTGAACCGTTTTCACTGGACAAGGCCAGAAGAAAGAACATTTAGTACAACACAACCATGAGGCTGCAAATCAAACTGGTAGTGGGAGCATGCACAAGGCTTCAGTGGCTGAGACACTGGTGGCTACCCTTGGGTGTCACTTAAAACTTCAAGGTGAAGGACATTTTTTTTCCAGTTGGCTCAGGGAAACTAATAAACATTAGAATTGAAATTTGTTTTTCTTTTCAAAATTTCTAAGACATAGAGGACTCTCTAAACACTCCAAAAGACATTCAGATATACATGCAGCTGAGGACCTGCCTGCTCTGCAGAGGGATGGCTGAGCAGCAGCCACCAGCTGTAATAACTTTAAACTTCTCCTCTCACAGGGACAGGCCACTCCCACACACACTGCTTACTTCATAGGCTGTGGCCCTCAGATGCACCTGGGGGACTGCTTTCCTCCCATTTCATTAGCTCTCCAAGACAGTCCATCTCACTCTAAAACCTACACTAGGATGGTGAGTTGTAGACTCTCCTCCATTCTCCCAGTGCAGTGTGACTTCCAGAGAGTGCTCCCCCATCCTCTTACCTCAACTGATGTGAAAAGGGCCAGTGCCTGGGCAGTTAGATGTTCAGTCACCTCACAGGTCCAGCATGCCCAGGGCCTGGCCCCACAGCCTGGCACCTCTCCCCTACCTGGCCTTCATGCCAGCCTTTTCTCTTCTGTCACCAATGTCAAGTGACATTCACCTGTGCCACACTCTTATGAGTGTGGTAAGTGATGGGTGGGTAAACCCCAGCTGAGTGCCTGTGACTCTACCCTCTTACCTTTCACTCAAGTGACATTATAAGCATAATTTTACATTTGATTTAATTTATGCATAATCTTTTCTTATAACATTTCTGACAATAGCCCTCACAACCAAAGGAGACTGGGTTACAGAACACATGGGCAAGGCTGGGGTAGCAGGTTTCACTTACTTTATTCCAATGTGAAATGAAGATGTGATGGTTTAAAACCAAGACAAAGTTGTTTATCAGCTGTGGGGTTGCTACACTTGCTAGCTCATGCTCACTTCCTTTGAAACAAGGAATCTGGAGAGACTATATTCATAAGTAGCTCTTTGCAAACCCCCAGGCAGAAGCCCCAGTCAGACGCAGCTCCCTCAGGCTCTCAGGGCGGCAACTTCCTCCTCCATGTTGGGCTCTGCCATCAGGCAAGGGAAGAGCTCCCTCAGGCTCCCAGGGCTGCAACCTCCTCCTCCATGTTGGGCTCTGCCAGCAGGCAAGGGAAGAGCTCCCTCAGGCTCCCAGGGCTGCAGCCTCCTCCTCCATGTTGGGCTCTGCCAGCAGCCAAGGGAAGAGCTCCCTCAGGCTCCCAGGGCTGCAACCTCCTCCTTCATGTTGGGCTCTGCCAGCAGCCAAGGGAAGCAGCACAGGCAGCGGGGGACAGGAAGCCACCCGGGGCCATAGGGATCCCCAAACGCCCCAGAGCTATTCTCTGTAGAAAGGGCGGTGTGGCAAGGACCAGGTATGGAGCTGGGTTCCACAGAGAGGTGACAGCCACTTCTGTATCTCTAAATTTCCCCCGGGATCCATGATCCAGCCCTGCTTTCCCCCAGGCCCTTCACCCACCCTGCCCCCACTGTGTGTTAGGCAGCTCGGGTTAAAATGGGAGAAAAATATATTCAGATTGTAGCCTCCAAGTTTTCCCATCTGGGCTGCAGAGAGTAGAGAAGGAAGTCGGGGCCTGTGGCGGTGCCTTTTGCTGTGCCTGAGGGCAGGAAGGCCAGGGCTGGGCACATGGATGTCTCCGGGACCACCACTGCTGACTCCCTCCCCTCACCTGAAGCTACAACCAGCCCAGGCTATCACGATTAATAAAACCACTGCAGCTCTCATCCTGTCACAAAACTAATGTGCACCCAACTGCAGCCCTACACAGATCCCTGGCTTCCTATCCCAGAACACAGAAAATCCTCTTATCTTTTTTACTTAAAACCTGGACTTTAAGCCAGATTGGGCCTGGGGATAGAGGCAGCAAAAGCAACAGCCAGATGTATACACTCCAGATGTATACACTCAAGGGCATGGGCACATTCCACACTTGCTGAAGAATGAGAGGCCTGAGAGACACCTGTTTCCCAGCTGCTAGCTGATGTCTACACACCCCATTCATGTGTCTTCATTTAGGCCTCTGCATCATGTATTTGTTCAGCCAGTGCAAACACATCTTCTGGGGGGCATCATTGATTGCAGCACCAGCCCCACTTGTTTCGGGAGGGAGTCAGGAGGAATCTGGTCAGCTCCTAATCCCCCAGGACAAAGGTGCTGCCCCCTTTTCAGCACTCACATCCAGCAGCACCATCTTGGGATGGTTTTTCAAACACAAGTAGCATGAGGTAGCAAGCATGGTGTGACAGGCTCAGGGCCATAGGCAGCCGGCTGCTGGAGAAGCAGCACAGGGCAGGCACATCTGTGGGTGGCACCCTGACAAGCCAAGGCAGCCACAGCCCCTACCCCCAACAGCCCCAGCCCAGATGGCATTCAGATCTTCCCGGATAGTATTGGGGTTCCCGATGCCCATCACTCCCCTGCTTATTAGCACTGCCTTGTGTTGGTTACTCAGGGACTAAGGAGAGGGGGTGGGGGATGTAGATCCAGGGTGGGCACTGCCTCACAGCCAGAGTCCACCTGACTGCAGGCCAGCAAGCAAGCCCAGCAGCTCAGCTCTAGACACTTAGCCTCACCACCTCTGGCTGCACTTTCTACGTATACTTTATGCAAAGGTAGAAAAAGAGGTCAGTATTAGCTGTTGTGACATAAAAGTCTATGCCCCATTAAGACCTTCTTAAAATGCTGTTGCCTTAAGCCCTCTTTCTTCTAATAAAATTTATACAAATACACACATACAAGCTGAAACTACTATAAATGAAATATTAGGATTTTTTAAACCCATAGACAAACACTAAAACAGTCACTGTTTGAATGCAGAGAAAGTGGGAGTCTAAAGCAGCTGACCCCAAAACAGCCTTACCAAGCCCAAGGCCAGGCCAGGCAGTCTGAACACTACAAGGTCACGTGATGGTCACAGAGGATGACAGCTCCCATGAGTATTCTCAGGCACTGTGTTAGCTTCTCACTCACAGAGTCTCAGAATGCCTCCTCACCAATACCCTGTGAGGGAAGGCCCCACCTCACTACAGCACGAGAGGTTCCTGAGCTCTTCCCAGAAAATGGTTATCAAAGGGTGGAGCTGGGGGAAGCCCAGACAGAACAAGTGAGTCCCCAGGGTCTCCTTAACCTCCCTCAGCTCCTCCACATGGGGCCCTGAGGGAAAGTGAGCGGCCTCCTAACCCCTTTGATAGGGTTCCAGTACTGCAGGTCTGGACCTCCTCATTTTCTGGAACCACAGGAGGTGACAATGCAAACCCAGGCCCCTTATTTGCCGTCCCTCAATGCCAGGCCAGGCCCAGAGCCCTGTGCTGACACAGCCCAGGGGATGCTCGAGGCCCACCTCAGCACAGTCACCAATAGCGTAGTGAGATGAGCAAGGAGGTGCAAGTAGGCACAAATCCCCATGGACATGGCCTCAGGCATGTTCCACAGGCTCAGGGTCTCCCTGATGAGCTCACAGCCCTCCTTCAGGGGTCCTGCAGAGCACACACCCAGGGAGCAGTGCTCAGATGAGCAGGCAGGCCCCAGATTCCCCACCCCAGGATGATCTGTTCCACTTTGCAGGGCTGCTGCATTGGCCAGTCCCCACTGCTTTCTGGTGGGATGTTTGAGTTGAAGTGAATGTTGAAGGGCATAGAGCTGATGGGGCTGACTGCCTTGCAGATGTTGTAAATCACCTCCTGGCTCCACGGGTCAGCTGTGGAGACACAGCTTGATGGGAGGTAGCCCCACTCCACCATCAGTGGTGCTGGGCTGCCCTGATCTGCACCTTCCAGCTCCTTGCTGAGATGTCTGCATGTTTCTCTAAGGGACTGGGTCACGAGACACCCCTGGCAAGGCCCAGCTGGCAGAATAGGCTGGACACTCTCCCTCAGCCTCCCCAGCAGCCCGGGCTGTGCTGTCACCTGTGCTGATGATCTCACTTCTCTATCTTAATAACAGCACTGATAACTTTTAAGCCCTAGCAAGCTGAAACTGCAAGACAAATGATCTTCTGCCTTAGAAGGGCTATGGCTGGGCAGTGTGTGCCCAGGTGAGAGCCCTGTGGTTGTTAGTGGAAGTAGGGAGCTGGATGGGCCTGGCCCCATAGCCTAGTGAAAACTAGGGCCCTCTCCTTCCAGAGCATCAAAGTCTTAGAGGCTGGAAAAAGGTGCTTGTGTGGGCTGCCAAGAAGCAGAAGGCTAGAAGGCTTTGCAAGGAACCCCAACAGACTTCAAGGTGCCTGAGAGGGCTGGGCTTATTCCAGCTTTCTTTGCTTTCATTCTGTTAGCAAGAAAACCTGCTCACAGATGGCAGGTGGGCCTGAGGCTGCCAGTCACTCACCAGAGGCTATAGGTGCCTCGATTGTGGCTGTTTCTTGAAGCAGCTGCTCAGGCCGGTTATTGCAGAGCAGTTCCCTCATTATCCACAGGTCCTTGTTCCAGCCCCGGCTCTGCAAAGGGACTAGGGAGGGACTAGGCAAGGGCTCAGCCTGTGCCTCACAACCTGCTCTGAGATATCTCTTTTGTTACTTCCTCATGGACAGCCTCAAACTTCCAAATGAACAGACCAGCATGGAGCCTCCAGGAAAGTGCATAGAATTCTATCTGGTACCCAGAGGGAAGGGGGTTCCCAGTGAGGGCAGGACCAGGCTTCATGCACCTCTTCAGGAATGTTCTCCTCATAGTCCAGCCTCAAGGTGTGCATCCTCTGTGTGCATGGAGTCCATGGCAGGCTCTGCCTGGGGAGCCGTCCAGCTGCACACCTGCAATGTGGTGGTGACCCTCATGAATGGGTGGTTCTGGGCCCCATGGCTGGCAGCAGAGAGGGAGATGTTCAGCCACCAAGCCCAGAGCCCTGCCACAGGCTTCTGTGAGGCCTCCATCTGCTCTGGGTTCTTGCCCTGAGAGGCTGCCCTGAAGTCAAACAGAAGCACGTGGGCCTCTCTTCCAGGGCTGCTCTCTCCCCCA
Organism: Homo sapiens; assembly: GCF_000001405.40. Lineage (NCBI taxonomy): Eukaryota > Metazoa > Chordata > Mammalia > Primates > Hominidae > Homo > Homo sapiens. Next base: position 153,382 of record NW_015495301.1, read on the forward strand.
CTGACAGCTCCCTAGAGGGAGACTCAGACAGCGGGGACAGATTCCTCAGGCATAAGCACTGGAGTTTAGGCTGGCCAGTTCATTCCATACGCCCACATGACATGACACAAGGCAGAGGCTGTGGGACAAAGGTATTGCCTTTTCTTCTGGCATGAGGAATGGCTTAGGAAGCAGGGGATGGTGGGGCTGGGGTTGAGTGATGGGCTGTGGGCCACAAGGAGTGGGTGGGCGCTGAGAAAGTGTCCTGGTTGTCTGTCCATAGACGCAGAATGAGTGGCATCCCAGGAGCCTGTGAGGGGCTGGCAGAGACTTACTGGTTCCAGTAAAAGCCCCATGTGGATGCAGTAATGCTGCCTGCTGGTCCTTGGCTGTAATTACAAACAGGTACATGAGGTACCCATGCATCTTGAAGCTCTCAGGGAGTGGGTTCCAGCTGCTCATGGTAGGCACTTTTAGTCACTGAACATGCTTCAGGCATGTCCAAGCTTGATTAAGCCAGGCATCTTGCTGTGAGGCCCTCCACTTCACTAAGAACACTCTTCCTTGCTTCCCCTGGAAGTTGGACCTTCCAGTTCTGGTTCTGGAGACACGATGGCCCCTCCTGGACCCCTGGGAGAATGTGCTCAGGTGACACACAGTTGATGGGGCCCATTTCCAAGCCATTCTTCCATTTCCCACTGTTTGAGGGACCCGAGGCCGGTGACAAGCACAGAGCCACCCAAGGCCAGCTGTCTGCACCTAAATGTGATGCTTGTCTGGATGTCTCAGGGCCAGAACCCTCCAGGTGAGATGGCCTGGTCCTCACCACCTGGCGTCTGTGCTCCCTTTTCCTCTGTTCAATCCTGGCGCCAATGCCTCCCTCAACTCTCAGGTCACCATTGGAGAAGATGCTCAGGAAGAACAAGCAGCTGCAGTTAACCCTGCTGAAAGTGGCAGATGGGTCCAGGCTCTTGAGCTCGTCTTGGACATGGAACATGTGGATACAGGCTTTGAGCAGTGTGTGTAGCTCTTTCAGGAAGGAAGGGAAAAGGGTGTTACCCGGGTCCTACACCCTGGAACGACCCTTCTCAGACAGTAAATAGTTGGCAGGGTGCGGTCATGTGTGATTTTAGTTTTCAACTTTAGGCTTTCATTTTCAAATTCCACAATAAACACATAAGGTGGAGTTCTGGTTTCAGCACACACACACACACACAAACACACACACACACACACACACAGTCTCTCTCTCTGTATGTCTCTTTCTGTCTCTCTCTCTCTCCTTCCTGCAAGGATCCTTGTTAACAAGAAACCTTCTGCCAAATGCCTCTGAAGCACAGGCAGGTCTTGGGGAGCCACAAGGCCACTTCCTCTTTGTGCACTAGTGTCTTGGGTAGGCATAGCTTTCAGAGCTCTGGGGCCTCCACAACCTTGCCCTGCTGTCCAGGGGCAGCCCTCATGCAGGGGTGTCCTAAGAACTTTTCAGGATGCACAAGTTCAGCACTGTCTTCCAATGTGTGTTTCACGATATTTTAATGGTGGTTCTTTTGGGAAAAAGGAAAGGTTCTGTGATCAATTATGGGACACATTGAGCTACAGATCTTTTTCACAATTGCTCTTAACAAGCAGGTAGACCCTGAGAACATGAGTAGCTTCCCCGCAGGTAACTTGAGTGCATGAGAACTTTTGCTTTACAACCATGCCAATCTCACCTCAGCAGTTGGCAGTGCTGCACGGGGCAGACTTCCCTACTCAAAGGCTGTGAAGCTTTTCTTTCTTTTTTTTTAAACATTATTTTTCTTTATAGAATTTTGTTGGGCTGATATCAAGCCTGGCTTGGTACTGCCTCATTTTTTTTGGAATCAGAACGCTGTTCTTTAACTCACGGGTTGTGAAGTTAGAAGGTGCTGGTGTGACAGCCTGACAAGCAGAGCGCAGCTCCAATCCCACCTTCATGCTCTCATCTGACGCAGAGCCCTCAGAGAAGTGGGGAAGTGCTTCCTGGCCCTGCTTCTGGGGGCCGTCCCCAAGGCAGTCCACCGAACTTCCAAAACAGCCTTCCCTCACACACAGCCCTGAGCCCTCCTGCCGCTCCTCAATGTTGCACATCTCTGAGAAGTGGTCCAGCATGTTGCTGTCCAGGAGCAGTGAGAAGCAGGTGCGGTGACACATGTCTTCACGGACCATGAGCACCGGGTAAATCTCCTGCACAATCTCCTTGGGGGACACCTTGAGGGAGAAAGCCCCAACAACTGATGGCATGCCACATGGCAGAAAGCAAAGACTTACCCTTTCCCCAGCCCAAAGTCCTGAGAATCATGCCAAAAATCCTTGGTTTCCCACTTTTTAAAAATTTTAAAATTAAAATCCCAGGTTCCGCGTATACATGCCATGCCCACCTGCACCTGTGTGTGTGTGTGTGTTTGTGCACGCAGGACAGAGCCTGGCCCATTGACTATTCCTGCAGACCAAGAAAAATCCCTATGCAGAGTAAGGGGAGATGGAAGAAACGAGGGAGAGAAAATGGCAGCCTTGCCTCCTCCCTTGCCCATTGCTAAGGTCCCCAGGGCAAATGGCTTTTGCCTTCAACTTCACCTTAACAACATACAAAATATATTCATTTTTACTTCCGTCACTTTCTTAACATTACAAATTGTATCTTTATATATGATTTGTATTTTCACAGAGATTTAAGAATTTAATGCACCATTATAGTAGAAAATTGTATATCTGTGTATATATTTACATTGAACAGAGAGCTTTATATTTTCATGTGGTTTTATGATGCTGTCCAGCATCATTTAATTTTTCAACATAATTAACTCTCTTTAGCATTTTTTTTCCTAGGGTTATTCTAGTAGTTAACAACCTCAGCTTTTTTATTTTAATCTTTGAAAGTCTTTATTTTTTTCTAATTTTTGAAATACAGTATTTCCCAGATCAATTATTATTGGTTGCTAGTATTTTTTCTTTCATTGCTTTGAAATCTGGAAAGTTCTTAGCATCCCCGCTTTTTCTCTGAAATAATGTTTATGCCATTTTCTCCCTCTATTCTTTTTAAAAGACTCTATCTCTGAATGTATTGGTCTACTTGATGGTGTCCAGTAAGTCTTATATTTCACCCGTAATTTTCCCATTCTTTAAAATATTAGTTTCCAGGACTCAATATTTGTGAATAATATATGTTCAATTTTCTTTTTTCTGCTCCATTGTTTGCTGTTGTGTCTCTGTAGTGAATTTATAAAACTCAGTTATTATATTCTTCAACTCTATGATTTCTGTTGGGTTTTTAAAAATAGTTTTTATCTCTTTGTTGATATTTTGCTCATTCGTTATTTTTAAATTTCACTCAGTTGTCTCTTTCTGTTATAGTTTTGCTCACTGAGAATGCATAAGATGATTATTTTAAGTTCTCCATCAGATATGCAAAAATCTTTATTTGTTAAAATTCAGTTTCTGAATATTTATGTTTTTCTTCCAATGGGGAATATTTTCTGCCTTCTCTGTGTGCCTTGTGATTTTTTTTTTTAAAGAGATCTGGGGATCTATACAGCACTCATCAAATCTAGCATTTAAAGACTGGCTCAGTAAAGGGGGATACCGACAGCAATAGTCCAGGCTATAGATTCTAGGTGCTTCACAAACACATTCCCAAATATATTTTCTCTGGACTTCGCTGTGTTTCCAAGTTAAAGAGAATTTTTTCTCAATGTATTTTAGATTCTATTGTCTATTTTCTTCCCCAGTTGGCTGTCTGTGGTATTGCAGTTTCACTAGTGCTGTAGCAAACACTCATCTTTCTTCTCAGCAGACACAAACTGTCATCTATATGACTCCATCATGTCCTTCAGCACTCCACATCAGGAGAGAAAGAATCTAGTCATTAGACAATTTATCAAAAAGCCAAACATTTCAACACATATTCTACTGTTTTAATTCTCTCCTGAAGGAGATACTGGGAGTTGGGCATTTTCTCATTAGCCCAGTTACTGTTCTGGGTGAAAAAATAAACTGCAGTGGACAGGCTGTAAGCCAGACTTCATCAAATTTCTGCACCAATGAAAAAAAAATTTACAAGAGAAAAACAAAAAACCCTATTAAACGTCACGGACAAGGCCAGAGTTTGAATATACTGTGGTCATCTCTGCTCCAGTGCAAACTGTTTCCAGAAAGCCTACTTCTATTTTCCTTGCTGTAACAGAGGAACATTTCCTGTCTTATGTTTATTCTACTCTGCAATCCCCTAAGGCTTTTTCTCTCCCTCCCAGAATCTTAAAGTGCATTCGAACTCGCAGGCAAAATCCTCCCAGAATCTTGTGAGAACATAAATGATCTGACTAGTTTGGCATTGCTTTTGGGGATCTGGGAAAATCTGTGCACACTTCTGGAGACCCTTGTCATGCCATTTTTTATAAATCTATTGTGCCTCAAGTCAGAAGTGTGTGAGGGGAGATGGGGAGACATTGGGATGCGCGCGCCTGGGGCTCTCCCACAGGGGGCTTTCGTGAGCCAGGCAGCGAGGGCCGCCCCCGCGCTGCAGCCCAGCCAGGCCGCGACGGCAGAGGGGGTCTCCCAACCTGCCCCGGCGCGCGGGGATTTCGCCTACGCCGCCCCGGCTCCTCCGGACGGGGCGCTCTCCCACCCTCAGGCTCCTCGGTGGCCTCCGCACCCGGGCAAAAGCCGGGAGGACCGGGACCCGCAGCGCGACGGCCTGCCGGGCCCCTGCGCGGTGGCACAGCCTGGGCCCGCTCAAGCGGGGCCGCAGGGCCAAGGGGTGCTTGCGCCACCCACGTCCCAGGGGAGTCCGTGGTGGGGCTGGGGCCGGGGTCCCCAGGTCGCCGGGGCGGCGTGGGAACCCCAAGCCGGGGCAGCTCCACCTCCCCAGCCCGCGCCCCCGGACGCCTCCGCCTCCGCGCGGCAGGGGCAGATGCAAGGCATCCCGGCGCCCTCCCAGGCGCTCCAGGAGCCGGCGCCCTGGTCTGCACTCCCCTGCGGCCTGCTGCTGGATGAGCTCCTGGCGAGCCCGGAGTTTCTGCAGCAGGCGCAACCTCTCCTAGAAACGGAGGCCCCGGGGGAGCTGGAGGCCTCGGAAGAGGCCGCCTCGCTGGAAGCACCCCTCAGCGAGGAAGAATACCGGGCTCTGCTGGAGGAGCTTTAGGACGCGGGGTTGGGACGGGGTCGGGTGGTTCGGGGCAGGGCGGTGGCCTCTCTTTCGCGGGGAACACCTGGCTGGCTACGGAGGGGCGTGTCTCCGCCCCGCCCCCTCCACCGGGCTGACCGGCCTGGGATTCCTGCCTTCTAGGTCTAGGCCCGGTGAGAGACTCCACACCGCGGAGAACTGCCATTCTTTCCTGGGCATCCCGGGGATCCCAGAGCCGGCCCAGGTACCAGCAGGTGGGCCGCCTACTGCGCACGCGCGGGTTTGCGGGCAGCCGCCTGGGCTGTGGGAGCAGCCCGGGCAGAGCTCTCCTGCCTCTCCACCAGCCCACCCCGCCGCCTGACCGCCCCCTCCCCACCCCCACCCCCCACCCCCGGAAAACGCGTCGTCCCCTGGGCTGGGTGGAGACCCCCGTCCCGCGAAACACCTGGCCCCGCGCAGCGTCCGGGCCTGACACCGCTCCGGCGGCTCGCCTCCTCTGCGCCCCCGCGCCACCGTCGCCCGCCCGCCCGGGCCCCTGCAGCCGCCCAGGTGCCAGCACGGAGCGCCTGGCGGCGGAACGCAGACCCCAGGCCCGGCGCACACCGGGGACGCTGAGCGTTCCAGGCGGGAGGGAAGGCGGGCAGAGATGGAGAGAGGAACGGGAGACCTAGAGGGGCGGAAGGACGGGCGGAGGGACGTTAGGAGGGAGGGAGGGAGGCAGGGAGGCAGGGAGGAACGGAGGGAAAGACAGAGCGACGCGGGGACTGGGGGCGGGCGGGAGGGAGCCGGGGACGGACGGGGGGAGGAAGGCAGGGAGGAAAAGCGGTCCTCGGCCTCCGGGAGTAGCGGGACCCCCGCCCTCCGGGAAAACGGTCAGCGTCCGGCGCGGGCTGAGGGCTGGGCCCACAGCCGCCGCGCCGGCCGGCGGGGCACCACCCATTCGCCCCGGTTCCGGGGCCCAGGGAGTGGGCGGTTTCCTCCGGGACAAAAGACCGGGACTCGGGTTGCCGTCGGGTTTTCACCCGCGCGGTTCACAGACCGCACATCCCCAGGCTGAGCCCTGCAACGCGGCGCGAGGCCGACAGCCCCGGCCACGGAGGAGCCACACGCAGGACGACGGAGGCGTGATTTTGGTTTCCGCGTGGCTTTGCCCTCCGCAAGGCGGCCTGTTGCTCACGTCTCTCCGGCCCCCGAAAGGCTGGCCATGCCGACTGTTTGCTCCCGGAGCTCTGCGGGCACCCGGAAACATGCAGGGAAGGGTGCAAGCCCGGCATGGTGCCTTCGCTCTCCTTGCCAGGTTCCAAACCGGCCACACTGCAGACTCCCCACGTTGCCGCACGCGGGAATCCATCGTCAGGCCATCACGCCGGGGAGGCATCTCCTCTCTGGGGTCTCGCTCTGGTCTTCTACGTGGAAATGAACGAGAGCCACACGCCTGCGTGTGCGAGACCGTCCCGGCAACGGCGACGCCCACAGGCATTGCCTCCTTCACGGAGAGAGGGCCTGGCACACTCAAGACTCCCACGGAGGTTCAGTTCCACACTCCCCTCCACCCTCCCAGGCTGGTTTCTCCCTGCTGCCGACGCGTGGGAGCCCAGAGAGCGGCTTCCCGTTCCCGCGGGATCCCTGGAGAGGTCCGGAGAGCCGGCCCCCGAAACGCGCCCCCCTCCCCCCTCCCCCCTCTCCCCCTTCCTCTTCGTCTCTCCGGCCCCACCACCACCACCGCCACCACGCCCTCCCCCACCACCCCCCCCCCCACCACCACCACCACCACCACCACCCCGCCGGCCGGCCCCAGGCCTCGACGCCCTGGGTCCCTTCCGGGGTGGGGCGGGCTGTCCCAGGGGGGCTCACCGCCATTCATGAAGGGGTGGAGCCTGCCTGCCTGTGGGCCTTTACAAGGGCGGCTGGCTGGCTGGCTGGCTGGCTGTCCGGGCAGGCCTCCTGGCTGCACCTGCCGCAGTGCACAGTCCGGCTGAGGTGCACGGGAGCCCGCCGGCCTCTCTCTGCCCGCGTCCGTCCGTGAAATTCCGGCCGGGGCTCACCGCGATGGCCCTCCCGACACCCTCGGACAGCACCCTCCCCGCGGAAGCCCGGGGACGAGGACGGCGACGGAGACTCGTTTGGACCCCGAGCCAAAGCGAGGCCCTGCGAGCCTGCTTTGAGCGGAACCCGTACCCGGGCATCGCCACCAGAGAACGGCTGGCCCAGGCCATCGGCATTCCGGAGCCCAGGGTCCAGATTTGGTTTCAGAATGAGAGGTCACGCCAGCTGAGGCAGCACCGGCGGGAATCTCGGCCCTGGCCCGGGAGACGCGGCCCGCCAGAAGGCCGGCGAAAGCGGACCGCCGTCACCGGATCCCAGACCGCCCTGCTCCTCCGAGCCTTTGAGAAGGATCGCTTTCCAGGCATCGCCGCCCGGGAGGAGCTGGCCAGAGAGACGGGCCTCCCGGAGTCCAGGATTCAGATCTGGTTTCAGAATCGAAGGGCCAGGCACCCGGGACAGGGTGGCAGGGCGCCCGCGCAGGCAGGCGGCCTGTGCAGCGCGGCCCCCGGCGGGGGTCACCCTGCTCCCTCGTGGGTCGCCTTCGCCCACACCGGCGCGTGGGGAACGGGGCTTCCCGCACCCCACGTGCCCTGCGCGCCTGGGGCTCTCCCACAGGGGGCTTTCGTGAGCCAGGCAGCGAGGGCCGCCCCCGCGCTGCAGCCCAGCCAGGCCGCGCCGGCAGAGGGGATCTCCCAACCTGCCCCGGCGCGCGGGGATTTCGCCTACGCCGCCCCGGCTCCTCCGGACGGGGCGCTCTCCCACCCTCAGGCTCCTCGGTGGCCTCCGCACCCGGGCAAAAGCCGGGAGGACCGGGACCCGCAGCGCGACGGCCTGCCGGGCCCCTGCGCGGTGGCACAGCCTGGGCCCGCTCAAGCGGGGCCGCAGGGCCAAGGGGTGCTTGCGCCACCCACGTCCCAGGGGAGTCCGTGGTGGGGCTGGGGCCGGGGTCCCCAGGTCGCCGGGGCGGCGTGGGAACCCCAAGCCGGGGCAGCTCCACCTCCCCAGCCCGCGCCCCCGGACGCCTCCGCCTCCGCGCGGCAGGGGCAGATGCAAGGCATCCCGGCGCCCTCCCAGGCGCTCCAGGAGCCGGCGCCCTGGTCTGCACTCCCCTGCGGCCTGCTGCTGGATGAGCTCCTGGCGAGCCCGGAGTTTCTGCAGCAGGCGCAACCTCTCCTAGAAACGGAGGCCCCGGGGGAGCTGGAGGCCTCGGAAGAGGCCGCCTCGCTGGAAGCACCCCTCAGCGAGGAAGAATACCGGGCTCTGCTGGAGGAGCTTTAGGACGCGGGGTTGGGACGGGGTCGGGTGGTTCGGGGCAGGGCGGTGGCCTCTCTTTCGCGGGGAACACCTGGCTGGCTACGGAGGGGCGTGTCTCCGCCCCGCCCCCTCCACCGGGCTGACCGGCCTGGGATTCCTGCCTTCTAGGTCTAGGCCCGGTGAGAGACTCCACACCGCGGAGAACTGCCATTCTTTCCTGGGCATCCCGGGGATCCCAGAGCCGGCCCAGGTACCAGCAGGTGGGCCGCCTACTGCGCACGCGCGGGTTTGCGGGCAGCCGCCTGGGCTGTGGGAGCAGCCCGGGCAGAGCTCTCCTGCCTCTCCACCAGCCCACCCCGCCGCCTGACCGCCCCCTCCCCACCCCCACCCCCCACCCCCGGAAAACGCGTCGTCCCCTGGGCTGGGTGGAGACCCCCGTCCCGCGAAACACCTGGCCCCGCGCAGCGTCCGGGCCTGACACCGCTCCGGCGGCTCGCCTCCTCTGCGCCCCCGCGCCACCGTCGCCCGCCCGCCCGGGCCCCTGCAGCCGCCCAGGTGCCAGCACGGAGCGCCTGGCGGCGGAACGCAGACCCCAGGCCCGGCGCACACCGGGGACGCTGAGCGTTCCAGGCGGGAGGGAAGGCGGGCAGAGATGGAGAGAGGAACGGGAGACCTAGAGGGGCGGAAGGACGGGCGGAGGGACGTTAGGAGGGAGGGAGGGAGGCAGGGAGGCAGGGAGGAACGGAGGGAAAGACAGAGCGACGCGGGGACTGGGGGCGGGCGGGAGGGAGCCGGGGACGGACGGGGGGAGGAAGGCAGGGAGGAAAAGCGGTCCTCGGCCTCCGGGAGTAGCGGGACCCCCGCCCTCCGGGAAAACGGTCAGCGTCCGGCGCGGGCTGAGGGCTGGGCCCACAGCCGCCGCGCCGGCCGGCGGGGCACCACCCATTCGCCCCGGTTCCGGGGCCCAGGGAGTGGGCGGTTTCCTCCGGGACAAAAGACCGGGACTCGGGTTGCCGTCGGGTTTTCACCCGCGCGGTTCACAGACCGCACATCCCCAGGCTGAGCCCTGCAACGCGGCGCGAGGCCGACAGCCCCGGCCACGGAGGAGCCACACGCAGGACGACGGAGGCGTGATTTTGGTTTCCGCGTGGCTTTGCCCTCCGCAAGGCGGCCTGTTGCTCACGTCTCTCCGGCCCCCGAAAGGCTGGCCATGCCGACTGTTTGCTCCCGGAGCTCTGCGGGCACCCGGAAACATGCAGGGAAGGGTGCAAGCCCGGCATGGTGCCTTCGCTCTCCTTGCCAGGTTCCAAACCGGCCACACTGCAGACTCCCCACGTTGCCGCACGCGGGAATCCATCGTCAGGCCATCACGCCGGGGAGGCATCTCCTCTCTGGGGTCTCGCTCTGGTCTTCTACGTGGAAATGAACGAGAGCCACACGCCTGCGTGTGCGAGACCGTCCCGGCAACGGCGACGCCCACAGGCATTGCCTCCTTCACGGAGAGAGGGCCTGGCACACTCAAGACTCCCACGGAGGTTCAGTTCCACACTCCCCTCCACCCTCCCAGGCTGGTTTCTCCCTGCTGCCGACGCGTGGGAGCCCAGAGAGCGGCTTCCCGTTCCCGCGGGATCCCTGGAGAGGTCCGGAGAGCCGGCCCCCGAAACGCGCCCCCCTCCCCCCTCCCCCCTCTCCCCCTTCCTCTTCGTCTCTCCGGCCCCACCACCACCACCGCCACCACGCCCTCCCCCACCACCCCCCCCCCCACCACCACCACCACCACCACCACCCCGCCGGCCGGCCCCAGGCCTCGACGCCCTGGGTCCCTTCCGGGGTGGGGCGGGCTGTCCCAGGGGGGCTCACCGCCATTCATGAAGGGGTGGAGCCTGCCTGCCTGTGGGCCTTTACAAGGGCGGCTGGCTGGCTGGCTGGCTGGCTGTCCGGGCAGGCCTCCTGGCTGCACCTGCCGCAGTGCACAGTCCGGCTGAGGTGCACGGGAGCCCGCCGGCCTCTCTCTGCCCGCGTCCGTCCGTGAAATTCCGGCCGGGGCTCACCGCGATGGCCCTCCCGACACCCTCGGACAGCACCCTCCCCGCGGAAGCCCGGGGACGAGGACGGCGACGGAGACTCGTTTGGACCCCGAGCCAAAGCGAGGCCCTGCGAGCCTGCTTTGAGCGGAACCCGTACCCGGGCATCGCCACCAGAGAACGGCTGGCCCAGGCCATCGGCATTCCGGAGCCCAGGGTCCAGATTTGGTTTCAGAATGAGAGGTCACGCCAGCTGAGGCAGCACCGGCGGGAATCTCGGCCCTGGCCCGGGAGACGCGGCCCGCCAGAAGGCCGGCGAAAGCGGACCGCCGTCACCGGATCCCAGACCGCCCTGCTCCTCCGAGCCTTTGAGAAGGATCGCTTTCCAGGCATCGCCGCCCGGGAGGAGCTGGCCAGAGAGACGGGCCTCCCGGAGTCCAGGATTCAGATCTGGTTTCAGAATCGAAGGGCCAGGCACCCGGGACAGGGTGGCAGGGCGCCCGCGCAGGCAGGCGGCCTGTGCAGCGCGGCCCCCGGCGGGGGTCACCCTGCTCCCTCGTGGGTCGCCTTCGCCCACACCGGCGCGTGGGGAACGGGGCTTCCCGCACCCCACGTGCCCTGCGCGCCTGGGGCTCTCCCACAGGGGGCTTTCGTGAGCCAGGCAGCGAGGGCCGCCCCCGCGCTGCAGCCCAGCCAGGCCGCGCCGGCAGAGGGGATCTCCCAACCTGCCCCGGCGCGCGGGGATTTCGCCTACGCCGCCCCGGCTCCTCCGGACGGGGCGCTCTCCCACCCTCAGGCTCCTCGGTGGCCTCCGCACCCGGGCAAAAGCCGGGAGGACCGGGACCCGCAGCGCGACGGCCTGCCGGGCCCCTGCGCGGTGGCACAGCCTGGGCCCGCTCAAGCGGGGCCGCAGGGCCAAGGGGTGCTTGCGCCACCCACGTCCCAGGGGAGTCCGTGGTGGGGCTGGGGCCGGGGTCCCCAGGTCGCCGGGGCGGCGTGGGAACCCCAAGCCGGGGCAGCTCCACCTCCCCAGCCCGCGCCCCCGGACGCCTCCGCCTCCGCGCGGCAGGGGCAGATGCAAGGCATCCCGGCGCCCTCCCAGGCGCTCCAGGAGCCGGCGCCCTGGTCTGCACTCCCCTGCGGCCTGCTGCTGGATGAGCTCCTGGCGAGCCCGGAGTTTCTGCAGCAGGCGCAACCTCTCCTAGAAACGGAGGCCCCGGGGGAGCTGGAGGCCTCGGAAGAGGCCGCCTCGCTGGAAGCACCCCTCAGCGAGGAAGAATACCGGGCTCTGCTGGAGGAGCTTTAGGACGCGGGGTTGGGACGGGGTCGGGTGGTTCGGGGCAGGGCGGTGGCCTCTCTTTCGCGGGGAACACCTGGCTGGCTACGGAGGGGCGTGTCTCCGCCCCGCCCCCTCCACCGGGCTGACCGGCCTGGGATTCCTGCCTTCTAGGTCTAGGCCCGGTGAGAGACTCCACACCGCGGAGAACTGCCATTCTTTCCTGGGCATCCCGGGGATCCCAGAGCCGGCCCAGGTACCAGCAGGTGGGCCGCCTACTGCGCACGCGCGGGTTTGCGGGCAGCCGCCTGGGCTGTGGGAGCAGCCCGGGCAGAGCTCTCCTGCCTCTCCACCAGCCCACCCCGCCGCCTGACCGCCCCCTCCCCACCCCCACCCCCCACCCCCGGAAAACGCGTCGTCCCCTGGGCTGGGTGGAGACCCCCGTCCCGCGAAACACCTGGCCCCGCGCAGCGTCCGGGCCTGACACCGCTCCGGCGGCTCGCCTCCTCTGCGCCCCCGCGCCACCGTCGCCCGCCCGCCCGGGCCCCTGCAGCCGCCCAGGTGCCAGCACGGAGCGCCTGGCGGCGGAACGCAGACCCCAGGCCCGGCGCACACCGGGGACGCTGAGCGTTCCAGGCGGGAGGGAAGGCGGGCAGAGATGGAGAGAGGAACGGGAGACCTAGAGGGGCGGAAGGACGGGCGGAGGGACGTTAGGAGGGAGGGAGGGAGGCAGGGAGGCAGGGAGGAACGGAGGGAAAGACAGAGCGACGCGGGGACTGGGGGCGGGCGGGAGGGAGCCGGGGACGGACGGGGGGAGGAAGGCAGGGAGGAAAAGCGGTCCTCGGCCTCCGGGAGTAGCGGGACCCCCGCCCTCCGGGAAAACGGTCAGCGTCCGGCGCGGGCTGAGGGCTGGGCCCACAGCCGCCGCGCCGGCCGGCGGGGCACCACCCATTCGCCCCGGTTCCGGGGCCCAGGGAGTGGGCGGTTTCCTCCGGGACAAAAGACCGGGACTCGGGTTGCCGTCGGGTTTTCACCCGCGCGGTTCACAGACCGCACATCCCCAGGCTGAGCCCTGCAACGCGGCGCGAGGCCGACAGCCCCGGCCACGGAGGAGCCACACGCAGGACGACGGAGGCGTGATTTTGGTTTCCGCGTGGCTTTGCCCTCCGCAAGGCGGCCTGTTGCTCACGTCTCTCCGGCCCCCGAAAGGCTGGCCATGCCGACTGTTTGCTCCCGGAGCTCTGCGGGCACCCGGAAACATGCAGGGAAGGGTGCAAGCCCGGCATGGTGCCTTCGCTCTCCTTGCCAGGTTCCAAACCGGCCACACTGCAGACTCCCCACGTTGCCGCACGCGGGAATCCATCGTCAGGCCATCACGCCGGGGAGGCATCTCCTCTCTGGGGTCTCGCTCTGGTCTTCTACGTGGAAATGAACGAGAGCCACACGCCTGCGTGTGCGAGACCGTCCCGGCAACGGCGACGCCCACAGGCATTGCCTCCTTCACGGAGAGAGGGCCTGGCACACTCAAGACTCCCACGGAGGTTCAGTTCCACACTCCCCTCCACCCTCCCAGGCTGGTTTCTCCCTGCTGCCGACGCGTGGGAGCCCAGAGAGCGGCTTCCCGTTCCCGCGGGATCCCTGGAGAGGTCCGGAGAGCCGGCCCCCGAAACGCGCCCCCCTCCCCCCTCCCCCCTCTCCCCCTTCCTCTTCGTCTCTCCGGCCCCACCACCACCACCGCCACCACGCCCTCCCCCACCACCCCCCCCCCCACCACCACCACCACCACCACCACCCCGCCGGCCGGCCCCAGGCCTCGACGCCCTGGGTCCCTTCCGGGGTGGGGCGGGCTGTCCCAGGGGGGCTCACCGCCATTCATGAAGGGGTGGAGCCTGCCTGCCTGTGGGCCTTTACAAGGGCGGCTGGCTGGCTGGCTGGCTGGCTGTCCGGGCAGGCCTCCTGGCTGCACCTGCCGCAGTGCACAGTCCGGCTGAGGTGCACGGGAGCCCGCCGGCCTCTCTCTGCCCGCGTCCGTCCGTGAAATTCCGGCCGGGGCTCACCGCGATGGCCCTCCCGACACCCTCGGACAGCACCCTCCCCGCGGAAGCCCGGGGACGAGGACGGCGACGGAGACTCGTTTGGACCCCGAGCCAAAGCGAGGCCCTGCGAGCCTGCTTTGAGCGGAACCCGTACCCGGGCATCGCCACCAGAGAACGGCTGGCCCAGGCCATCGGCATTCCGGAGCCCAGGGTCCAGATTTGGTTTCAGAATGAGAGGTCACGCCAGCTGAGGCAGCACCGGCGGGAATCTCGGCCCTGGCCCGGGAGACGCGGCCCGCCAGAAGGCCGGCGAAAGCGGACCGCCGTCACCGGATCCCAGACCGCCCTGCTCCTCCGAGCCTTTGAGAAGGATCGCTTTCCAGGCATCGCCGCCCGGGAGGAGCTGGCCAGAGAGACGGGCCTCCCGGAGTCCAGGATTCAGATCTGGTTTCAGAATCGAAGGGCCAGGCACCCGGGACAGGGTGGCAGGGCGCCCGCGCAGGCAGGCGGCCTGTGCAGCGCGGCCCCCGGCGGGGGTCACCCTGCTCCCTCGTGGGTCGCCTTCGCCCACACCGGCGCGTGGGGAACGGGGCTTCCCGCACCCCACGTGCCCTGCGCGCCTGGGGCTCTCCCACAGGGGGCTTTCGTGAGCCAGGCAGCGAGGGCCGCCCCCGCGCTGCAGCCCAGCCAGGCCGCGCCGGCAGAGGGGATCTCCCAACCTGCCCCGGCGCGCGGGGATTTCGCCTACGCCGCCCCGGCTCCTCCGGACGGGGCGCTCTCCCACCCTCAGGCTCCTCGGTGGCCTCCGCACCCGGGCAAAAGCCGGGAGGACCGGGACCCGCAGCGCGACGGCCTGCCGGGCCCCTGCGCGGTGGCACAGCCTGGGCCCGCTCAAGCGGGGCCGCAGGGCCAAGGGGTGCTTGCGCCACCCACGTCCCAGGGGAGTCCGTGGTGGGGCTGGGGCCGGGGTCCCCAGGTCGCCGGGGCGGCGTGGGAACCCCAAGCCGGGGCAGCTCCACCTCCCCAGCCCGCGCCCCCGGACGCCTCCGCCTCCGCGCGGCAGGGGCAGATGCAAGGCATCCCGGCGCCCTCCCAGGCGCTCCAGGAGCCGGCGCCCTGGTCTGCACTCCCCTGCGGCCTGCTGCTGGATGAGCTCCTGGCGAGCCCGGAGTTTCTGCAGCAGGCGCAACCTCTCCTAGAAACGGAGGCCCCGGGGGAGCTGGAGGCCTCGGAAGAGGCCGCCTCGCTGGAAGCACCCCTCAGCGAGGAAGAATACCGGGCTCTGCTGGAGGAGCTTTAGGACGCGGGGTTGGGACGGGGTCGGGTGGTTCGGGGCAGGGCGGTGGCCTCTCTTTCGCGGGGAACACCTGGCTGGCTACGGAGGGGCGTGTCTCCGCCCCGCCCCCTCCACCGGGCTGACCGGCCTG
This sequence comes from Homo sapiens, assembly GCF_000001405.40. Lineage (NCBI taxonomy): Eukaryota > Metazoa > Chordata > Mammalia > Primates > Hominidae > Homo > Homo sapiens. The sequence continues at coordinate 168,564 of NW_015495301.1, forward strand.
GGATTCCTGCCTTCTAGGTCTAGGCCCGGTGAGAGACTCCACACCGCGGAGAACTGCCATTCTTTCCTGGGCATCCCGGGGATCCCAGAGCCGGCCCAGGTACCAGCAGGTGGGCCGCCTACTGCGCACGCGCGGGTTTGCGGGCAGCCGCCTGGGCTGTGGGAGCAGCCCGGGCAGAGCTCTCCTGCCTCTCCACCAGCCCACCCCGCCGCCTGACCGCCCCCTCCCCACCCCCACCCCCCACCCCCGGAAAACGCGTCGTCCCCTGGGCTGGGTGGAGACCCCCGTCCCGCGAAACACCTGGCCCCGCGCAGCGTCCGGGCCTGACACCGCTCCGGCGGCTCGCCTCCTCTGCGCCCCCGCGCCACCGTCGCCCGCCCGCCCGGGCCCCTGCAGCCGCCCAGGTGCCAGCACGGAGCGCCTGGCGGCGGAACGCAGACCCCAGGCCCGGCGCACACCGGGGACGCTGAGCGTTCCAGGCGGGAGGGAAGGCGGGCAGAGATGGAGAGAGGAACGGGAGACCTAGAGGGGCGGAAGGACGGGCGGAGGGACGTTAGGAGGGAGGGAGGGAGGCAGGGAGGCAGGGAGGAACGGAGGGAAAGACAGAGCGACGCGGGGACTGGGGGCGGGCGGGAGGGAGCCGGGGACGGACGGGGGGAGGAAGGCAGGGAGGAAAAGCGGTCCTCGGCCTCCGGGAGTAGCGGGACCCCCGCCCTCCGGGAAAACGGTCAGCGTCCGGCGCGGGCTGAGGGCTGGGCCCACAGCCGCCGCGCCGGCCGGCGGGGCACCACCCATTCGCCCCGGTTCCGGGGCCCAGGGAGTGGGCGGTTTCCTCCGGGACAAAAGACCGGGACTCGGGTTGCCGTCGGGTTTTCACCCGCGCGGTTCACAGACCGCACATCCCCAGGCTGAGCCCTGCAACGCGGCGCGAGGCCGACAGCCCCGGCCACGGAGGAGCCACACGCAGGACGACGGAGGCGTGATTTTGGTTTCCGCGTGGCTTTGCCCTCCGCAAGGCGGCCTGTTGCTCACGTCTCTCCGGCCCCCGAAAGGCTGGCCATGCCGACTGTTTGCTCCCGGAGCTCTGCGGGCACCCGGAAACATGCAGGGAAGGGTGCAAGCCCGGCATGGTGCCTTCGCTCTCCTTGCCAGGTTCCAAACCGGCCACACTGCAGACTCCCCACGTTGCCGCACGCGGGAATCCATCGTCAGGCCATCACGCCGGGGAGGCATCTCCTCTCTGGGGTCTCGCTCTGGTCTTCTACGTGGAAATGAACGAGAGCCACACGCCTGCGTGTGCGAGACCGTCCCGGCAACGGCGACGCCCACAGGCATTGCCTCCTTCACGGAGAGAGGGCCTGGCACACTCAAGACTCCCACGGAGGTTCAGTTCCACACTCCCCTCCACCCTCCCAGGCTGGTTTCTCCCTGCTGCCGACGCGTGGGAGCCCAGAGAGCGGCTTCCCGTTCCCGCGGGATCCCTGGAGAGGTCCGGAGAGCCGGCCCCCGAAACGCGCCCCCCTCCCCCCTCCCCCCTCTCCCCCTTCCTCTTCGTCTCTCCGGCCCCACCACCACCACCGCCACCACGCCCTCCCCCACCACCCCCCCCCCCACCACCACCACCACCACCACCACCCCGCCGGCCGGCCCCAGGCCTCGACGCCCTGGGTCCCTTCCGGGGTGGGGCGGGCTGTCCCAGGGGGGCTCACCGCCATTCATGAAGGGGTGGAGCCTGCCTGCCTGTGGGCCTTTACAAGGGCGGCTGGCTGGCTGGCTGGCTGGCTGTCCGGGCAGGCCTCCTGGCTGCACCTGCCGCAGTGCACAGTCCGGCTGAGGTGCACGGGAGCCCGCCGGCCTCTCTCTGCCCGCGTCCGTCCGTGAAATTCCGGCCGGGGCTCACCGCGATGGCCCTCCCGACACCCTCGGACAGCACCCTCCCCGCGGAAGCCCGGGGACGAGGACGGCGACGGAGACTCGTTTGGACCCCGAGCCAAAGCGAGGCCCTGCGAGCCTGCTTTGAGCGGAACCCGTACCCGGGCATCGCCACCAGAGAACGGCTGGCCCAGGCCATCGGCATTCCGGAGCCCAGGGTCCAGATTTGGTTTCAGAATGAGAGGTCACGCCAGCTGAGGCAGCACCGGCGGGAATCTCGGCCCTGGCCCGGGAGACGCGGCCCGCCAGAAGGCCGGCGAAAGCGGACCGCCGTCACCGGATCCCAGACCGCCCTGCTCCTCCGAGCCTTTGAGAAGGATCGCTTTCCAGGCATCGCCGCCCGGGAGGAGCTGGCCAGAGAGACGGGCCTCCCGGAGTCCAGGATTCAGATCTGGTTTCAGAATCGAAGGGCCAGGCACCCGGGACAGGGTGGCAGGGCGCCCGCGCAGGCAGGCGGCCTGTGCAGCGCGGCCCCCGGCGGGGGTCACCCTGCTCCCTCGTGGGTCGCCTTCGCCCACACCGGCGCGTGGGGAACGGGGCTTCCCGCACCCCACGTGCCCTGCGCGCCTGGGGCTCTCCCACAGGGGGCTTTCGTGAGCCAGGCAGCGAGGGCCGCCCCCGCGCTGCAGCCCAGCCAGGCCGCGCCGGCAGAGGGGATCTCCCAACCTGCCCCGGCGCGCGGGGATTTCGCCTACGCCGCCCCGGCTCCTCCGGACGGGGCGCTCTCCCACCCTCAGGCTCCTCGGTGGCCTCCGCACCCGGGCAAAAGCCGGGAGGACCGGGACCCGCAGCGCGACGGCCTGCCGGGCCCCTGCGCGGTGGCACAGCCTGGGCCCGCTCAAGCGGGGCCGCAGGGCCAAGGGGTGCTTGCGCCACCCACGTCCCAGGGGAGTCCGTGGTGGGGCTGGGGCCGGGGTCCCCAGGTCGCCGGGGCGGCGTGGGAACCCCAAGCCGGGGCAGCTCCACCTCCCCAGCCCGCGCCCCCGGACGCCTCCGCCTCCGCGCGGCAGGGGCAGATGCAAGGCATCCCGGCGCCCTCCCAGGCGCTCCAGGAGCCGGCGCCCTGGTCTGCACTCCCCTGCGGCCTGCTGCTGGATGAGCTCCTGGCGAGCCCGGAGTTTCTGCAGCAGGCGCAACCTCTCCTAGAAACGGAGGCCCCGGGGGAGCTGGAGGCCTCGGAAGAGGCCGCCTCGCTGGAAGCACCCCTCAGCGAGGAAGAATACCGGGCTCTGCTGGAGGAGCTTTAGGACGCGGGGTTGGGACGGGGTCGGGTGGTTCGGGGCAGGGCGGTGGCCTCTCTTTCGCGGGGAACACCTGGCTGGCTACGGAGGGGCGTGTCTCCGCCCCGCCCCCTCCACCGGGCTGACCGGCCTGGGATTCCTGCCTTCTAGGTCTAGGCCCGGTGAGAGACTCCACACCGCGGAGAACTGCCATTCTTTCCTGGGCATCCCGGGGATCCCAGAGCCGGCCCAGGTACCAGCAGGTGGGCCGCCTACTGCGCACGCGCGGGTTTGCGGGCAGCCGCCTGGGCTGTGGGAGCAGCCCGGGCAGAGCTCTCCTGCCTCTCCACCAGCCCACCCCGCCGCCTGACCGCCCCCTCCCCACCCCCACCCCCCACCCCCGGAAAACGCGTCGTCCCCTGGGCTGGGTGGAGACCCCCGTCCCGCGAAACACCTGGCCCCGCGCAGCGTCCGGGCCTGACACCGCTCCGGCGGCTCGCCTCCTCTGCGCCCCCGCGCCACCGTCGCCCGCCCGCCCGGGCCCCTGCAGCCGCCCAGGTGCCAGCACGGAGCGCCTGGCGGCGGAACGCAGACCCCAGGCCCGGCGCACACCGGGGACGCTGAGCGTTCCAGGCGGGAGGGAAGGCGGGCAGAGATGGAGAGAGGAACGGGAGACCTAGAGGGGCGGAAGGACGGGCGGAGGGACGTTAGGAGGGAGGGAGGGAGGCAGGGAGGCAGGGAGGAACGGAGGGAAAGACAGAGCGACGCGGGGACTGGGGGCGGGCGGGAGGGAGCCGGGGACGGACGGGGGGAGGAAGGCAGGGAGGAAAAGCGGTCCTCGGCCTCCGGGAGTAGCGGGACCCCCGCCCTCCGGGAAAACGGTCAGCGTCCGGCGCGGGCTGAGGGCTGGGCCCACAGCCGCCGCGCCGGCCGGCGGGGCACCACCCATTCGCCCCGGTTCCGGGGCCCAGGGAGTGGGCGGTTTCCTCCGGGACAAAAGACCGGGACTCGGGTTGCCGTCGGGTTTTCACCCGCGCGGTTCACAGACCGCACATCCCCAGGCTGAGCCCTGCAACGCGGCGCGAGGCCGACAGCCCCGGCCACGGAGGAGCCACACGCAGGACGACGGAGGCGTGATTTTGGTTTCCGCGTGGCTTTGCCCTCCGCAAGGCGGCCTGTTGCTCACGTCTCTCCGGCCCCCGAAAGGCTGGCCATGCCGACTGTTTGCTCCCGGAGCTCTGCGGGCACCCGGAAACATGCAGGGAAGGGTGCAAGCCCGGCATGGTGCCTTCGCTCTCCTTGCCAGGTTCCAAACCGGCCACACTGCAGACTCCCCACGTTGCCGCACGCGGGAATCCATCGTCAGGCCATCACGCCGGGGAGGCATCTCCTCTCTGGGGTCTCGCTCTGGTCTTCTACGTGGAAATGAACGAGAGCCACACGCCTGCGTGTGCGAGACCGTCCCGGCAACGGCGACGCCCACAGGCATTGCCTCCTTCACGGAGAGAGGGCCTGGCACACTCAAGACTCCCACGGAGGTTCAGTTCCACACTCCCCTCCACCCTCCCAGGCTGGTTTCTCCCTGCTGCCGACGCGTGGGAGCCCAGAGAGCGGCTTCCCGTTCCCGCGGGATCCCTGGAGAGGTCCGGAGAGCCGGCCCCCGAAACGCGCCCCCCTCCCCCCTCCCCCCTCTCCCCCTTCCTCTTCGTCTCTCCGGCCCCACCACCACCACCGCCACCACGCCCTCCCCCACCACCCCCCCCCCCACCACCACCACCACCACCACCACCCCGCCGGCCGGCCCCAGGCCTCGACGCCCTGGGTCCCTTCCGGGGTGGGGCGGGCTGTCCCAGGGGGGCTCACCGCCATTCATGAAGGGGTGGAGCCTGCCTGCCTGTGGGCCTTTACAAGGGCGGCTGGCTGGCTGGCTGGCTGGCTGTCCGGGCAGGCCTCCTGGCTGCACCTGCCGCAGTGCACAGTCCGGCTGAGGTGCACGGGAGCCCGCCGGCCTCTCTCTGCCCGCGTCCGTCCGTGAAATTCCGGCCGGGGCTCACCGCGATGGCCCTCCCGACACCCTCGGACAGCACCCTCCCCGCGGAAGCCCGGGGACGAGGACGGCGACGGAGACTCGTTTGGACCCCGAGCCAAAGCGAGGCCCTGCGAGCCTGCTTTGAGCGGAACCCGTACCCGGGCATCGCCACCAGAGAACGGCTGGCCCAGGCCATCGGCATTCCGGAGCCCAGGGTCCAGATTTGGTTTCAGAATGAGAGGTCACGCCAGCTGAGGCAGCACCGGCGGGAATCTCGGCCCTGGCCCGGGAGACGCGGCCCGCCAGAAGGCCGGCGAAAGCGGACCGCCGTCACCGGATCCCAGACCGCCCTGCTCCTCCGAGCCTTTGAGAAGGATCGCTTTCCAGGCATCGCCGCCCGGGAGGAGCTGGCCAGAGAGACGGGCCTCCCGGAGTCCAGGATTCAGATCTGGTTTCAGAATCGAAGGGCCAGGCACCCGGGACAGGGTGGCAGGGCGCCCGCGCAGGCAGGCGGCCTGTGCAGCGCGGCCCCCGGCGGGGGTCACCCTGCTCCCTCGTGGGTCGCCTTCGCCCACACCGGCGCGTGGGGAACGGGGCTTCCCGCACCCCACGTGCCCTGCGCGCCTGGGGCTCTCCCACAGGGGGCTTTCGTGAGCCAGGCAGCGAGGGCCGCCCCCGCGCTGCAGCCCAGCCAGGCCGCGCCGGCAGAGGGGATCTCCCAACCTGCCCCGGCGCGCGGGGATTTCGCCTACGCCGCCCCGGCTCCTCCGGACGGGGCGCTCTCCCACCCTCAGGCTCCTCGGTGGCCTCCGCACCCGGGCAAAAGCCGGGAGGACCGGGACCCGCAGCGCGACGGCCTGCCGGGCCCCTGCGCGGTGGCACAGCCTGGGCCCGCTCAAGCGGGGCCGCAGGGCCAAGGGGTGCTTGCGCCACCCACGTCCCAGGGGAGTCCGTGGTGGGGCTGGGGCCGGGGTCCCCAGGTCGCCGGGGCGGCGTGGGAACCCCAAGCCGGGGCAGCTCCACCTCCCCAGCCCGCGCCCCCGGACGCCTCCGCCTCCGCGCGGCAGGGGCAGATGCAAGGCATCCCGGCGCCCTCCCAGGCGCTCCAGGAGCCGGCGCCCTGGTCTGCACTCCCCTGCGGCCTGCTGCTGGATGAGCTCCTGGCGAGCCCGGAGTTTCTGCAGCAGGCGCAACCTCTCCTAGAAACGGAGGCCCCGGGGGAGCTGGAGGCCTCGGAAGAGGCCGCCTCGCTGGAAGCACCCCTCAGCGAGGAAGAATACCGGGCTCTGCTGGAGGAGCTTTAGGACGCGGGGTTGGGACGGGGTCGGGTGGTTCGGGGCAGGGCGGTGGCCTCTCTTTCGCGGGGAACACCTGGCTGGCTACGGAGGGGCGTGTCTCCGCCCCGCCCCCTCCACCGGGCTGACCGGCCTGGGATTCCTGCCTTCTAGGTCTAGGCCCGGTGAGAGACTCCACACCGCGGAGAACTGCCATTCTTTCCTGGGCATCCCGGGGATCCCAGAGCCGGCCCAGGTACCAGCAGGTGGGCCGCCTACTGCGCACGCGCGGGTTTGCGGGCAGCCGCCTGGGCTGTGGGAGCAGCCCGGGCAGAGCTCTCCTGCCTCTCCACCAGCCCACCCCGCCGCCTGACCGCCCCCTCCCCACCCCCACCCCCCACCCCCGGAAAACGCGTCGTCCCCTGGGCTGGGTGGAGACCCCCGTCCCGCGAAACACCTGGCCCCGCGCAGCGTCCGGGCCTGACACCGCTCCGGCGGCTCGCCTCCTCTGCGCCCCCGCGCCACCGTCGCCCGCCCGCCCGGGCCCCTGCAGCCGCCCAGGTGCCAGCACGGAGCGCCTGGCGGCGGAACGCAGACCCCAGGCCCGGCGCACACCGGGGACGCTGAGCGTTCCAGGCGGGAGGGAAGGCGGGCAGAGATGGAGAGAGGAACGGGAGACCTAGAGGGGCGGAAGGACGGGCGGAGGGACGTTAGGAGGGAGGGAGGGAGGCAGGGAGGCAGGGAGGAACGGAGGGAAAGACAGAGCGACGCGGGGACTGGGGGCGGGCGGGAGGGAGCCGGGGACGGACGGGGGGAGGAAGGCAGGGAGGAAAAGCGGTCCTCGGCCTCCGGGAGTAGCGGGACCCCCGCCCTCCGGGAAAACGGTCAGCGTCCGGCGCGGGCTGAGGGCTGGGCCCACAGCCGCCGCGCCGGCCGGCGGGGCACCACCCATTCGCCCCGGTTCCGGGGCCCAGGGAGTGGGCGGTTTCCTCCGGGACAAAAGACCGGGACTCGGGTTGCCGTCGGGTTTTCACCCGCGCGGTTCACAGACCGCACATCCCCAGGCTGAGCCCTGCAACGCGGCGCGAGGCCGACAGCCCCGGCCACGGAGGAGCCACACGCAGGACGACGGAGGCGTGATTTTGGTTTCCGCGTGGCTTTGCCCTCCGCAAGGCGGCCTGTTGCTCACGTCTCTCCGGCCCCCGAAAGGCTGGCCATGCCGACTGTTTGCTCCCGGAGCTCTGCGGGCACCCGGAAACATGCAGGGAAGGGTGCAAGCCCGGCATGGTGCCTTCGCTCTCCTTGCCAGGTTCCAAACCGGCCACACTGCAGACTCCCCACGTTGCCGCACGCGGGAATCCATCGTCAGGCCATCACGCCGGGGAGGCATCTCCTCTCTGGGGTCTCGCTCTGGTCTTCTACGTGGAAATGAACGAGAGCCACACGCCTGCGTGTGCGAGACCGTCCCGGCAACGGCGACGCCCACAGGCATTGCCTCCTTCACGGAGAGAGGGCCTGGCACACTCAAGACTCCCACGGAGGTTCAGTTCCACACTCCCCTCCACCCTCCCAGGCTGGTTTCTCCCTGCTGCCGACGCGTGGGAGCCCAGAGAGCGGCTTCCCGTTCCCGCGGGATCCCTGGAGAGGTCCGGAGAGCCGGCCCCCGAAACGCGCCCCCCTCCCCCCTCCCCCCTCTCCCCCTTCCTCTTCGTCTCTCCGGCCCCACCACCACCACCGCCACCACGCCCTCCCCCACCACCCCCCCCCCCACCACCACCACCACCACCACCACCCCGCCGGCCGGCCCCAGGCCTCGACGCCCTGGGTCCCTTCCGGGGTGGGGCGGGCTGTCCCAGGGGGGCTCACCGCCATTCATGAAGGGGTGGAGCCTGCCTGCCTGTGGGCCTTTACAAGGGCGGCTGGCTGGCTGGCTGGCTGGCTGTCCGGGCAGGCCTCCTGGCTGCACCTGCCGCAGTGCACAGTCCGGCTGAGGTGCACGGGAGCCCGCCGGCCTCTCTCTGCCCGCGTCCGTCCGTGAAATTCCGGCCGGGGCTCACCGCGATGGCCCTCCCGACACCCTCGGACAGCACCCTCCCCGCGGAAGCCCGGGGACGAGGACGGCGACGGAGACTCGTTTGGACCCCGAGCCAAAGCGAGGCCCTGCGAGCCTGCTTTGAGCGGAACCCGTACCCGGGCATCGCCACCAGAGAACGGCTGGCCCAGGCCATCGGCATTCCGGAGCCCAGGGTCCAGATTTGGTTTCAGAATGAGAGGTCACGCCAGCTGAGGCAGCACCGGCGGGAATCTCGGCCCTGGCCCGGGAGACGCGGCCCGCCAGAAGGCCGGCGAAAGCGGACCGCCGTCACCGGATCCCAGACCGCCCTGCTCCTCCGAGCCTTTGAGAAGGATCGCTTTCCAGGCATCGCCGCCCGGGAGGAGCTGGCCAGAGAGACGGGCCTCCCGGAGTCCAGGATTCAGATCTGGTTTCAGAATCGAAGGGCCAGGCACCCGGGACAGGGTGGCAGGGCGCCCGCGCAGGCAGGCGGCCTGTGCAGCGCGGCCCCCGGCGGGGGTCACCCTGCTCCCTCGTGGGTCGCCTTCGCCCACACCGGCGCGTGGGGAACGGGGCTTCCCGCACCCCACGTGCCCTGCGCGCCTGGGGCTCTCCCACAGGGGGCTTTCGTGAGCCAGGCAGCGAGGGCCGCCCCCGCGCTGCAGCCCAGCCAGGCCGCGCCGGCAGAGGGGATCTCCCAACCTGCCCCGGCGCGCGGGGATTTCGCCTACGCCGCCCCGGCTCCTCCGGACGGGGCGCTCTCCCACCCTCAGGCTCCTCGGTGGCCTCCGCACCCGGGCAAAAGCCGGGAGGACCGGGACCCGCAGCGCGACGGCCTGCCGGGCCCCTGCGCGGTGGCACAGCCTGGGCCCGCTCAAGCGGGGCCGCAGGGCCAAGGGGTGCTTGCGCCACCCACGTCCCAGGGGAGTCCGTGGTGGGGCTGGGGCCGGGGTCCCCAGGTCGCCGGGGCGGCGTGGGAACCCCAAGCCGGGGCAGCTCCACCTCCCCAGCCCGCGCCCCCGGACGCCTCCGCCTCCGCGCGGCAGGGGCAGATGCAAGGCATCCCGGCGCCCTCCCAGGCGCTCCAGGAGCCGGCGCCCTGGTCTGCACTCCCCTGCGGCCTGCTGCTGGATGAGCTCCTGGCGAGCCCGGAGTTTCTGCAGCAGGCGCAACCTCTCCTAGAAACGGAGGCCCCGGGGGAGCTGGAGGCCTCGGAAGAGGCCGCCTCGCTGGAAGCACCCCTCAGCGAGGAAGAATACCGGGCTCTGCTGGAGGAGCTTTAGGACGCGGGGTTGGGACGGGGTCGGGTGGTTCGGGGCAGGGCGGTGGCCTCTCTTTCGCGGGGAACACCTGGCTGGCTACGGAGGGGCGTGTCTCCGCCCCGCCCCCTCCACCGGGCTGACCGGCCTGGGATTCCTGCCTTCTAGGTCTAGGCCCGGTGAGAGACTCCACACCGCGGAGAACTGCCATTCTTTCCTGGGCATCCCGGGGATCCCAGAGCCGGCCCAGGTACCAGCAGGTGGGCCGCCTACTGCGCACGCGCGGGTTTGCGGGCAGCCGCCTGGGCTGTGGGAGCAGCCCGGGCAGAGCTCTCCTGCCTCTCCACCAGCCCACCCCGCCGCCTGACCGCCCCCTCCCCACCCCCACCCCCCACCCCCGGAAAACGCGTCGTCCCCTGGGCTGGGTGGAGACCCCCGTCCCGCGAAACACCTGGCCCCGCGCAGCGTCCGGGCCTGACACCGCTCCGGCGGCTCGCCTCCTCTGCGCCCCCGCGCCACCGTCGCCCGCCCGCCCGGGCCCCTGCAGCCGCCCAGGTGCCAGCACGGAGCGCCTGGCGGCGGAACGCAGACCCCAGGCCCGGCGCACACCGGGGACGCTGAGCGTTCCAGGCGGGAGGGAAGGCGGGCAGAGATGGAGAGAGGAACGGGAGACCTAGAGGGGCGGAAGGACGGGCGGAGGGACGTTAGGAGGGAGGGAGGGAGGCAGGGAGGCAGGGAGGAACGGAGGGAAAGACAGAGCGACGCGGGGACTGGGGGCGGGCGGGAGGGAGCCGGGGACGGACGGGGGGAGGAAGGCAGGGAGGAAAAGCGGTCCTCGGCCTCCGGGAGTAGCGGGACCCCCGCCCTCCGGGAAAACGGTCAGCGTCCGGCGCGGGCTGAGGGCTGGGCCCACAGCCGCCGCGCCGGCCGGCGGGGCACCACCCATTCGCCCCGGTTCCGGGGCCCAGGGAGTGGGCGGTTTCCTCCGGGACAAAAGACCGGGACTCGGGTTGCCGTCGGGTTTTCACCCGCGCGGTTCACAGACCGCACATCCCCAGGCTGAGCCCTGCAACGCGGCGCGAGGCCGACAGCCCCGGCCACGGAGGAGCCACACGCAGGACGACGGAGGCGTGATTTTGGTTTCCGCGTGGCTTTGCCCTCCGCAAGGCGGCCTGTTGCTCACGTCTCTCCGGCCCCCGAAAGGCTGGCCATGCCGACTGTTTGCTCCCGGAGCTCTGCGGGCACCCGGAAACATGCAGGGAAGGGTGCAAGCCCGGCATGGTGCCTTCGCTCTCCTTGCCAGGTTCCAAACCGGCCACACTGCAGACTCCCCACGTTGCCGCACGCGGGAATCCATCGTCAGGCCATCACGCCGGGGAGGCATCTCCTCTCTGGGGTCTCGCTCTGGTCTTCTACGTGGAAATGAACGAGAGCCACACGCCTGCGTGTGCGAGACCGTCCCGGCAACGGCGACGCCCACAGGCATTGCCTCCTTCACGGAGAGAGGGCCTGGCACACTCAAGACTCCCACGGAGGTTCAGTTCCACACTCCCCTCCACCCTCCCAGGCTGGTTTCTCCCTGCTGCCGACGCGTGGGAGCCCAGAGAGCGGCTTCCCGTTCCCGCGGGATCCCTGGAGAGGTCCGGAGAGCCGGCCCCCGAAACGCGCCCCCCTCCCCCCTCCCCCCTCTCCCCCTTCCTCTTCGTCTCTCCGGCCCCACCACCACCACCGCCACCACGCCCTCCCCCACCACCCCCCCCCCCACCACCACCACCACCACCACCACCCCGCCGGCCGGCCCCAGGCCTCGACGCCCTGGGTCCCTTCCGGGGTGGGGCGGGCTGTCCCAGGGGGGCTCACCGCCATTCATGAAGGGGTGGAGCCTGCCTGCCTGTGGGCCTTTACAAGGGCGGCTGGCTGGCTGGCTGGCTGGCTGTCCGGGCAGGCCTCCTGGCTGCACCTGCCGCAGTGCACAGTCCGGCTGAGGTGCACGGGAGCCCGCCGGCCTCTCTCTGCCCGCGTCCGTCCGTGAAATTCCGGCCGGGGCTCACCGCGATGGCCCTCCCGACACCCTCGGACAGCACCCTCCCCGCGGAAGCCCGGGGACGAGGACGGCGACGGAGACTCGTTTGGACCCCGAGCCAAAGCGAGGCCCTGCGAGCCTGCTTTGAGCGGAACCCGTACCCGGGCATCGCCACCAGAGAACGGCTGGCCCAGGCCATCGGCATTCCGGAGCCCAGGGTCCAGATTTGGTTTCAGAATGAGAGGTCACGCCAGCTGAGGCAGCACCGGCGGGAATCTCGGCCCTGGCCCGGGAGACGCGGCCCGCCAGAAGGCCGGCGAAAGCGGACCGCCGTCACCGGATCCCAGACCGCCCTGCTCCTCCGAGCCTTTGAGAAGGATCGCTTTCCAGGCATCGCCGCCCGGGAGGAGCTGGCCAGAGAGACGGGCCTCCCGGAGTCCAGGATTCAGATCTGGTTTCAGAATCGAAGGGCCAGGCACCCGGGACAGGGTGGCAGGGCGCCCGCGCAGGCAGGCGGCCTGTGCAGCGCGGCCCCCGGCGGGGGTCACCCTGCTCCCTCGTGGGTCGCCTTCGCCCACACCGGCGCGTGGGGAACGGGGCTTCCCGCACCCCACGTGCCCTGCGCGCCTGGGGCTCTCCCACAGGGGGCTTTCGTGAGCCAGGCAGCGAGGGCCGCCCCCGCGCTGCAGCCCAGCCAGGCCGCGCCGGCAGAGGGGATCTCCCAACCTGCCCCGGCGCGCGGGGATTTCGCCTACGCCGCCCCGGCTCCTCCGGACGGGGCGCTCTCCCACCCTCAGGCTCCTCGGTGGCCTCCGCACCCGGGCAAAAGCCGGGAGGACCGGGACCCGCAGCGCGACGGCCTGCCGGGCCCCTGCGCGGTGGCACAGCCTGGGCCCGCTCAAGCGGGGCCGCAGGGCCAAGGGGTGCTTGCGCCACCCACGTCCCAGGGGAGTCCGTGGTGGGGCTGGGGCCGGGGTCCCCAGGTCGCCGGGGCGGCGTGGGAACCCCAAGCCGGGGCAGCTCCACCTCCCCAGCCCGCGCCCCCGGACGCCTCCGCCTCCGCGCGGCAGGGGCAGATGCAAGGCATCCCGGCGCCCTCCCAGGCGCTCCAGGAGCCGGCGCCCTGGTCTGCACTCCCCTGCGGCCTGCTGCTGGATGAGCTCCTGGCGAGCCCGGAGTTTCTGCAGCAGGCGCAACCTCTCCTAGAAACGGAGGCCCCGGGGGAGCTGGAGGCCTCGGAAGAGGCCGCCTCGCTGGAAGCACCCCTCAGCGAGGAAGAATACCGGGCTCTGCTGGAGGAGCTTTAGGACGCGGGGTTGGGACGGGGTCGGGTGGTTCGGGGCAGGGCGGTGGCCTCTCTTTCGCGGGGAACACCTGGCTGGCTACGGAGGGGCGTGTCTCCGCCCCGCCCCCTCCACCGGGCTGACCGGCCTGGGATTCCTGCCTTCTAGGTCTAGGCCCGGTGAGAGACTCCACACCGCGGAGAACTGCCATTCTTTCCTGGGCATCCCGGGGATCCCAGAGCCGGCCCAGGTACCAGCAGGTGGGCCGCCTACTGCGCACGCGCGGGTTTGCGGGCAGCCGCCTGGGCTGTGGGAGCAGCCCGGGCAGAGCTCTCCTGCCTCTCCACCAGCCCACCCCGCCGCCTGACCGCCCCCTCCCCACCCCCACCCCCCACCCCCGGAAAACGCGTCGTCCCCTGGGCTGGGTGGAGACCCCCGTCCCGCGAAACACCTGGCCCCGCGCAGCGTCCGGGCCTGACACCGCTCCGGCGGCTCGCCTCCTCTGCGCCCCCGCGCCACCGTCGCCCGCCCGCCCGGGCCCCTGCAGCCGCCCAGGTGCCAGCACGGAGCGCCTGGCGGCGGAACGCAGACCCCAGGCCCGGCGCACACCGGGGACGCTGAGCGTTCCAGGCGGGAGGGAAGGCGGGCAGAGATGGAGAGAGGAACGGGAGACCTAGAGGGGCGGAAGGACGGGCGGAGGGACGTTAGGAGGGAGGGAGGGAGGCAGGGAGGCAGGGAGGAACGGAGGGAAAGACAGAGCGACGCGGGGACTGGGGGCGGGCGGGAGGGAGCCGGGGACGGACGGGGGGAGGAAGGCAGGGAGGAAAAGCGGTCCTCGGCCTCCGGGAGTAGCGGGACCCCCGCCCTCCGGGAAAACGGTCAGCGTCCGGCGCGGGCTGAGGGCTGGGCCCACAGCCGCCGCGCCGGCCGGCGGGGCACCACCCATTCGCCCCGGTTCCGGGGCCCAGGGAGTGGGCGGTTTCCTCCGGGACAAAAGACCGGGACTCGGGTTGCCGTCGGGTTTTCACCCGCGCGGTTCACAGACCGCACATCCCCAGGCTGAGCCCTGCAACGCGGCGCGAGGCCGACAGCCCCGGCCACGGAGGAGCCACACGCAGGACGACGGAGGCGTGATTTTGGTTTCCGCGTGGCTTTGCCCTCCGCAAGGCGGCCTGTTGCTCACGTCTCTCCGGCCCCCGAAAGGCTGGCCATGCCGACTGTTTGCTCCCGGAGCTCTGCGGGCACCCGGAAACATGCAGGGAAGGGTGCAAGCCCGGCATGGTGCCTTCGCTCTCCTTGCCAGGTTCCAAACCGGCCACACTGCAGACTCCCCACGTTGCCGCACGCGGGAATCCATCGTCAGGCCATCACGCCGGGGAGGCATCTCCTCTCTGGGGTCTCGCTCTGGTCTTCTACGTGGAAATGAACGAGAGCCACACGCCTGCGTGTGCGAGACCGTCCCGGCAACGGCGACGCCCACAGGCATTGCCTCCTTCACGGAGAGAGGGCCTGGCACACTCAAGACTCCCACGGAGGTTCAGTTCCACACTCCCCTCCACCCTCCCAGGCTGGTTTCTCCCTGCTGCCGACGCGTGGGAGCCCAGAGAGCGGCTTCCCGTTCCCGCGGGATCCCTGGAGAGGTCCGGAGAGCCGGCCCCCGAAACGCGCCCCCCTCCCCCCTCCCCCCTCTCCCCCTTCCTCTTCGTCTCTCCGGCCCCACCACCACCACCGCCACCACGCCCTCCCCCACCACCCCCCCCCCCACCACCACCACCACCACCACCACCCCGCCGGCCGGCCCCAGGCCTCGACGCCCTGGGTCCCTTCCGGGGTGGGGCGGGCTGTCCCAGGGGGGCTCACCGCCATTCATGAAGGGGTGGAGCCTGCCTGCCTGTGGGCCTTTACAAGGGCGGCTGGCTGGCTGGCTGGCTGGCTGTCCGGGCAGGCCTCCTGGCTGCACCTGCCGCAGTGCACAGTCCGGCTGAGGTGCACGGGAGCCCGCCGGCCTCTCTCTGCCCGCGTCCGTCCGTGAAATTCCGGCCGGGGCTCACCGCGATGGCCCTCCCGACACCCTCGGACAGCACCCTCCCCGCGGAAGCCCGGGGACGAGGACGGCGACGGAGACTCGTTTGGACCCCGAGCCAA
Organism: Homo sapiens; assembly: GCF_000001405.40. Classification (NCBI taxonomy): domain Eukaryota; kingdom Metazoa; phylum Chordata; class Mammalia; order Primates; family Hominidae; genus Homo; species Homo sapiens. The sequence goes on from NW_015495301.1 coordinate 183,782, forward strand.
AGCGAGGCCCTGCGAGCCTGCTTTGAGCGGAACCCGTACCCGGGCATCGCCACCAGAGAACGGCTGGCCCAGGCCATCGGCATTCCGGAGCCCAGGGTCCAGATTTGGTTTCAGAATGAGAGGTCACGCCAGCTGAGGCAGCACCGGCGGGAATCTCGGCCCTGGCCCGGGAGACGCGGCCCGCCAGAAGGCCGGCGAAAGCGGACCGCCGTCACCGGATCCCAGACCGCCCTGCTCCTCCGAGCCTTTGAGAAGGATCGCTTTCCAGGCATCGCCGCCCGGGAGGAGCTGGCCAGAGAGACGGGCCTCCCGGAGTCCAGGATTCAGATCTGGTTTCAGAATCGAAGGGCCAGGCACCCGGGACAGGGTGGCAGGGCGCCCGCGCAGGCAGGCGGCCTGTGCAGCGCGGCCCCCGGCGGGGGTCACCCTGCTCCCTCGTGGGTCGCCTTCGCCCACACCGGCGCGTGGGGAACGGGGCTTCCCGCACCCCACGTGCCCTGCGCGCCTGGGGCTCTCCCACAGGGGGCTTTCGTGAGCCAGGCAGCGAGGGCCGCCCCCGCGCTGCAGCCCAGCCAGGCCGCGCCGGCAGAGGGGATCTCCCAACCTGCCCCGGCGCGCGGGGATTTCGCCTACGCCGCCCCGGCTCCTCCGGACGGGGCGCTCTCCCACCCTCAGGCTCCTCGGTGGCCTCCGCACCCGGGCAAAAGCCGGGAGGACCGGGACCCGCAGCGCGACGGCCTGCCGGGCCCCTGCGCGGTGGCACAGCCTGGGCCCGCTCAAGCGGGGCCGCAGGGCCAAGGGGTGCTTGCGCCACCCACGTCCCAGGGGAGTCCGTGGTGGGGCTGGGGCCGGGGTCCCCAGGTCGCCGGGGCGGCGTGGGAACCCCAAGCCGGGGCAGCTCCACCTCCCCAGCCCGCGCCCCCGGACGCCTCCGCCTCCGCGCGGCAGGGGCAGATGCAAGGCATCCCGGCGCCCTCCCAGGCGCTCCAGGAGCCGGCGCCCTGGTCTGCACTCCCCTGCGGCCTGCTGCTGGATGAGCTCCTGGCGAGCCCGGAGTTTCTGCAGCAGGCGCAACCTCTCCTAGAAACGGAGGCCCCGGGGGAGCTGGAGGCCTCGGAAGAGGCCGCCTCGCTGGAAGCACCCCTCAGCGAGGAAGAATACCGGGCTCTGCTGGAGGAGCTTTAGGACGCGGGGTTGGGACGGGGTCGGGTGGTTCGGGGCAGGGCGGTGGCCTCTCTTTCGCGGGGAACACCTGGCTGGCTACGGAGGGGCGTGTCTCCGCCCCGCCCCCTCCACCGGGCTGACCGGCCTGGGATTCCTGCCTTCTAGGTCTAGGCCCGGTGAGAGACTCCACACCGCGGAGAACTGCCATTCTTTCCTGGGCATCCCGGGGATCCCAGAGCCGGCCCAGGTACCAGCAGGTGGGCCGCCTACTGCGCACGCGCGGGTTTGCGGGCAGCCGCCTGGGCTGTGGGAGCAGCCCGGGCAGAGCTCTCCTGCCTCTCCACCAGCCCACCCCGCCGCCTGACCGCCCCCTCCCCACCCCCACCCCCCACCCCCGGAAAACGCGTCGTCCCCTGGGCTGGGTGGAGACCCCCGTCCCGCGAAACACCTGGCCCCGCGCAGCGTCCGGGCCTGACACCGCTCCGGCGGCTCGCCTCCTCTGCGCCCCCGCGCCACCGTCGCCCGCCCGCCCGGGCCCCTGCAGCCGCCCAGGTGCCAGCACGGAGCGCCTGGCGGCGGAACGCAGACCCCAGGCCCGGCGCACACCGGGGACGCTGAGCGTTCCAGGCGGGAGGGAAGGCGGGCAGAGATGGAGAGAGGAACGGGAGACCTAGAGGGGCGGAAGGACGGGCGGAGGGACGTTAGGAGGGAGGGAGGGAGGCAGGGAGGCAGGGAGGAACGGAGGGAAAGACAGAGCGACGCGGGGACTGGGGGCGGGCGGGAGGGAGCCGGGGACGGACGGGGGGAGGAAGGCAGGGAGGAAAAGCGGTCCTCGGCCTCCGGGAGTAGCGGGACCCCCGCCCTCCGGGAAAACGGTCAGCGTCCGGCGCGGGCTGAGGGCTGGGCCCACAGCCGCCGCGCCGGCCGGCGGGGCACCACCCATTCGCCCCGGTTCCGGGGCCCAGGGAGTGGGCGGTTTCCTCCGGGACAAAAGACCGGGACTCGGGTTGCCGTCGGGTTTTCACCCGCGCGGTTCACAGACCGCACATCCCCAGGCTGAGCCCTGCAACGCGGCGCGAGGCCGACAGCCCCGGCCACGGAGGAGCCACACGCAGGACGACGGAGGCGTGATTTTGGTTTCCGCGTGGCTTTGCCCTCCGCAAGGCGGCCTGTTGCTCACGTCTCTCCGGCCCCCGAAAGGCTGGCCATGCCGACTGTTTGCTCCCGGAGCTCTGCGGGCACCCGGAAACATGCAGGGAAGGGTGCAAGCCCGGCATGGTGCCTTCGCTCTCCTTGCCAGGTTCCAAACCGGCCACACTGCAGACTCCCCACGTTGCCGCACGCGGGAATCCATCGTCAGGCCATCACGCCGGGGAGGCATCTCCTCTCTGGGGTCTCGCTCTGGTCTTCTACGTGGAAATGAACGAGAGCCACACGCCTGCGTGTGCGAGACCGTCCCGGCAACGGCGACGCCCACAGGCATTGCCTCCTTCACGGAGAGAGGGCCTGGCACACTCAAGACTCCCACGGAGGTTCAGTTCCACACTCCCCTCCACCCTCCCAGGCTGGTTTCTCCCTGCTGCCGACGCGTGGGAGCCCAGAGAGCGGCTTCCCGTTCCCGCGGGATCCCTGGAGAGGTCCGGAGAGCCGGCCCCCGAAACGCGCCCCCCTCCCCCCTCCCCCCTCTCCCCCTTCCTCTTCGTCTCTCCGGCCCCACCACCACCACCGCCACCACGCCCTCCCCCACCACCCCCCCCCCCACCACCACCACCACCACCACCACCCCGCCGGCCGGCCCCAGGCCTCGACGCCCTGGGTCCCTTCCGGGGTGGGGCGGGCTGTCCCAGGGGGGCTCACCGCCATTCATGAAGGGGTGGAGCCTGCCTGCCTGTGGGCCTTTACAAGGGCGGCTGGCTGGCTGGCTGGCTGGCTGTCCGGGCAGGCCTCCTGGCTGCACCTGCCGCAGTGCACAGTCCGGCTGAGGTGCACGGGAGCCCGCCGGCCTCTCTCTGCCCGCGTCCGTCCGTGAAATTCCGGCCGGGGCTCACCGCGATGGCCCTCCCGACACCCTCGGACAGCACCCTCCCCGCGGAAGCCCGGGGACGAGGACGGCGACGGAGACTCGTTTGGACCCCGAGCCAAAGCGAGGCCCTGCGAGCCTGCTTTGAGCGGAACCCGTACCCGGGCATCGCCACCAGAGAACGGCTGGCCCAGGCCATCGGCATTCCGGAGCCCAGGGTCCAGATTTGGTTTCAGAATGAGAGGTCACGCCAGCTGAGGCAGCACCGGCGGGAATCTCGGCCCTGGCCCGGGAGACGCGGCCCGCCAGAAGGCCGGCGAAAGCGGACCGCCGTCACCGGATCCCAGACCGCCCTGCTCCTCCGAGCCTTTGAGAAGGATCGCTTTCCAGGCATCGCCGCCCGGGAGGAGCTGGCCAGAGAGACGGGCCTCCCGGAGTCCAGGATTCAGATCTGGTTTCAGAATCGAAGGGCCAGGCACCCGGGACAGGGTGGCAGGGCGCCCGCGCAGGCAGGCGGCCTGTGCAGCGCGGCCCCCGGCGGGGGTCACCCTGCTCCCTCGTGGGTCGCCTTCGCCCACACCGGCGCGTGGGGAACGGGGCTTCCCGCACCCCACGTGCCCTGCGCGCCTGGGGCTCTCCCACAGGGGGCTTTCGTGAGCCAGGCAGCGAGGGCCGCCCCCGCGCTGCAGCCCAGCCAGGCCGCGCCGGCAGAGGGGATCTCCCAACCTGCCCCGGCGCGCGGGGATTTCGCCTACGCCGCCCCGGCTCCTCCGGACGGGGCGCTCTCCCACCCTCAGGCTCCTCGGTGGCCTCCGCACCCGGGCAAAAGCCGGGAGGACCGGGACCCGCAGCGCGACGGCCTGCCGGGCCCCTGCGCGGTGGCACAGCCTGGGCCCGCTCAAGCGGGGCCGCAGGGCCAAGGGGTGCTTGCGCCACCCACGTCCCAGGGGAGTCCGTGGTGGGGCTGGGGCCGGGGTCCCCAGGTCGCCGGGGCGGCGTGGGAACCCCAAGCCGGGGCAGCTCCACCTCCCCAGCCCGCGCCCCCGGACGCCTCCGCCTCCGCGCGGCAGGGGCAGATGCAAGGCATCCCGGCGCCCTCCCAGGCGCTCCAGGAGCCGGCGCCCTGGTCTGCACTCCCCTGCGGCCTGCTGCTGGATGAGCTCCTGGCGAGCCCGGAGTTTCTGCAGCAGGCGCAACCTCTCCTAGAAACGGAGGCCCCGGGGGAGCTGGAGGCCTCGGAAGAGGCCGCCTCGCTGGAAGCACCCCTCAGCGAGGAAGAATACCGGGCTCTGCTGGAGGAGCTTTAGGACGCGGGGTTGGGACGGGGTCGGGTGGTTCGGGGCAGGGCGGTGGCCTCTCTTTCGCGGGGAACACCTGGCTGGCTACGGAGGGGCGTGTCTCCGCCCCGCCCCCTCCACCGGGCTGACCGGCCTGGGATTCCTGCCTTCTAGGTCTAGGCCCGGTGAGAGACTCCACACCGCGGAGAACTGCCATTCTTTCCTGGGCATCCCGGGGATCCCAGAGCCGGCCCAGGTACCAGCAGGTGGGCCGCCTACTGCGCACGCGCGGGTTTGCGGGCAGCCGCCTGGGCTGTGGGAGCAGCCCGGGCAGAGCTCTCCTGCCTCTCCACCAGCCCACCCCGCCGCCTGACCGCCCCCTCCCCACCCCCACCCCCCACCCCCGGAAAACGCGTCGTCCCCTGGGCTGGGTGGAGACCCCCGTCCCGCGAAACACCTGGCCCCGCGCAGCGTCCGGGCCTGACACCGCTCCGGCGGCTCGCCTCCTCTGCGCCCCCGCGCCACCGTCGCCCGCCCGCCCGGGCCCCTGCAGCCGCCCAGGTGCCAGCACGGAGCGCCTGGCGGCGGAACGCAGACCCCAGGCCCGGCGCACACCGGGGACGCTGAGCGTTCCAGGCGGGAGGGAAGGCGGGCAGAGATGGAGAGAGGAACGGGAGACCTAGAGGGGCGGAAGGACGGGCGGAGGGACGTTAGGAGGGAGGGAGGGAGGCAGGGAGGCAGGGAGGAACGGAGGGAAAGACAGAGCGACGCGGGGACTGGGGGCGGGCGGGAGGGAGCCGGGGACGGACGGGGGGAGGAAGGCAGGGAGGAAAAGCGGTCCTCGGCCTCCGGGAGTAGCGGGACCCCCGCCCTCCGGGAAAACGGTCAGCGTCCGGCGCGGGCTGAGGGCTGGGCCCACAGCCGCCGCGCCGGCCGGCGGGGCACCACCCATTCGCCCCGGTTCCGGGGCCCAGGGAGTGGGCGGTTTCCTCCGGGACAAAAGACCGGGACTCGGGTTGCCGTCGGGTTTTCACCCGCGCGGTTCACAGACCGCACATCCCCAGGCTGAGCCCTGCAACGCGGCGCGAGGCCGACAGCCCCGGCCACGGAGGAGCCACACGCAGGACGACGGAGGCGTGATTTTGGTTTCCGCGTGGCTTTGCCCTCCGCAAGGCGGCCTGTTGCTCACGTCTCTCCGGCCCCCGAAAGGCTGGCCATGCCGACTGTTTGCTCCCGGAGCTCTGCGGGCACCCGGAAACATGCAGGGAAGGGTGCAAGCCCGGCATGGTGCCTTCGCTCTCCTTGCCAGGTTCCAAACCGGCCACACTGCAGACTCCCCACGTTGCCGCACGCGGGAATCCATCGTCAGGCCATCACGCCGGGGAGGCATCTCCTCTCTGGGGTCTCGCTCTGGTCTTCTACGTGGAAATGAACGAGAGCCACACGCCTGCGTGTGCGAGACCGTCCCGGCAACGGCGACGCCCACAGGCATTGCCTCCTTCACGGAGAGAGGGCCTGGCACACTCAAGACTCCCACGGAGGTTCAGTTCCACACTCCCCTCCACCCTCCCAGGCTGGTTTCTCCCTGCTGCCGACGCGTGGGAGCCCAGAGAGCGGCTTCCCGTTCCCGCGGGATCCCTGGAGAGGTCCGGAGAGCCGGCCCCCGAAACGCGCCCCCCTCCCCCCTCCCCCCTCTCCCCCTTCCTCTTCGTCTCTCCGGCCCCACCACCACCACCGCCACCACGCCCTCCCCCACCACCCCCCCCCCCACCACCACCACCACCACCACCACCCCGCCGGCCGGCCCCAGGCCTCGACGCCCTGGGTCCCTTCCGGGGTGGGGCGGGCTGTCCCAGGGGGGCTCACCGCCATTCATGAAGGGGTGGAGCCTGCCTGCCTGTGGGCCTTTACAAGGGCGGCTGGCTGGCTGGCTGGCTGGCTGTCCGGGCAGGCCTCCTGGCTGCACCTGCCGCAGTGCACAGTCCGGCTGAGGTGCACGGGAGCCCGCCGGCCTCTCTCTGCCCGCGTCCGTCCGTGAAATTCCGGCCGGGGCTCACCGCGATGGCCCTCCCGACACCCTCGGACAGCACCCTCCCCGCGGAAGCCCGGGGACGAGGACGGCGACGGAGACTCGTTTGGACCCCGAGCCAAAGCGAGGCCCTGCGAGCCTGCTTTGAGCGGAACCCGTACCCGGGCATCGCCACCAGAGAACGGCTGGCCCAGGCCATCGGCATTCCGGAGCCCAGGGTCCAGATTTGGTTTCAGAATGAGAGGTCACGCCAGCTGAGGCAGCACCGGCGGGAATCTCGGCCCTGGCCCGGGAGACGCGGCCCGCCAGAAGGCCGGCGAAAGCGGACCGCCGTCACCGGATCCCAGACCGCCCTGCTCCTCCGAGCCTTTGAGAAGGATCGCTTTCCAGGCATCGCCGCCCGGGAGGAGCTGGCCAGAGAGACGGGCCTCCCGGAGTCCAGGATTCAGATCTGGTTTCAGAATCGAAGGGCCAGGCACCCGGGACAGGGTGGCAGGGCGCCCGCGCAGGCAGGCGGCCTGTGCAGCGCGGCCCCCGGCGGGGGTCACCCTGCTCCCTCGTGGGTCGCCTTCGCCCACACCGGCGCGTGGGGAACGGGGCTTCCCGCACCCCACGTGCCCTGCGCGCCTGGGGCTCTCCCACAGGGGGCTTTCGTGAGCCAGGCAGCGAGGGCCGCCCCCGCGCTGCAGCCCAGCCAGGCCGCGCCGGCAGAGGGGATCTCCCAACCTGCCCCGGCGCGCGGGGATTTCGCCTACGCCGCCCCGGCTCCTCCGGACGGGGCGCTCTCCCACCCTCAGGCTCCTCGGTGGCCTCCGCACCCGGGCAAAAGCCGGGAGGACCGGGACCCGCAGCGCGACGGCCTGCCGGGCCCCTGCGCGGTGGCACAGCCTGGGCCCGCTCAAGCGGGGCCGCAGGGCCAAGGGGTGCTTGCGCCACCCACGTCCCAGGGGAGTCCGTGGTGGGGCTGGGGCCGGGGTCCCCAGGTCGCCGGGGCGGCGTGGGAACCCCAAGCCGGGGCAGCTCCACCTCCCCAGCCCGCGCCCCCGGACGCCTCCGCCTCCGCGCGGCAGGGGCAGATGCAAGGCATCCCGGCGCCCTCCCAGGCGCTCCAGGAGCCGGCGCCCTGGTCTGCACTCCCCTGCGGCCTGCTGCTGGATGAGCTCCTGGCGAGCCCGGAGTTTCTGCAGCAGGCGCAACCTCTCCTAGAAACGGAGGCCCCGGGGGAGCTGGAGGCCTCGGAAGAGGCCGCCTCGCTGGAAGCACCCCTCAGCGAGGAAGAATACCGGGCTCTGCTGGAGGAGCTTTAGGACGCGGGGTTGGGACGGGGTCGGGTGGTTCGGGGCAGGGCGGTGGCCTCTCTTTCGCGGGGAACACCTGGCTGGCTACGGAGGGGCGTGTCTCCGCCCCGCCCCCTCCACCGGGCTGACCGGCCTGGGATTCCTGCCTTCTAGGTCTAGGCCCGGTGAGAGACTCCACACCGCGGAGAACTGCCATTCTTTCCTGGGCATCCCGGGGATCCCAGAGCCGGCCCAGGTACCAGCAGGTGGGCCGCCTACTGCGCACGCGCGGGTTTGCGGGCAGCCGCCTGGGCTGTGGGAGCAGCCCGGGCAGAGCTCTCCTGCCTCTCCACCAGCCCACCCCGCCGCCTGACCGCCCCCTCCCCACCCCCACCCCCCACCCCCGGAAAACGCGTCGTCCCCTGGGCTGGGTGGAGACCCCCGTCCCGCGAAACACCTGGCCCCGCGCAGCGTCCGGGCCTGACACCGCTCCGGCGGCTCGCCTCCTCTGCGCCCCCGCGCCACCGTCGCCCGCCCGCCCGGGCCCCTGCAGCCGCCCAGGTGCCAGCACGGAGCGCCTGGCGGCGGAACGCAGACCCCAGGCCCGGCGCACACCGGGGACGCTGAGCGTTCCAGGCGGGAGGGAAGGCGGGCAGAGATGGAGAGAGGAACGGGAGACCTAGAGGGGCGGAAGGACGGGCGGAGGGACGTTAGGAGGGAGGGAGGGAGGCAGGGAGGCAGGGAGGAACGGAGGGAAAGACAGAGCGACGCGGGGACTGGGGGCGGGCGGGAGGGAGCCGGGGACGGACGGGGGGAGGAAGGCAGGGAGGAAAAGCGGTCCTCGGCCTCCGGGAGTAGCGGGACCCCCGCCCTCCGGGAAAACGGTCAGCGTCCGGCGCGGGCTGAGGGCTGGGCCCACAGCCGCCGCGCCGGCCGGCGGGGCACCACCCATTCGCCCCGGTTCCGGGGCCCAGGGAGTGGGCGGTTTCCTCCGGGACAAAAGACCGGGACTCGGGTTGCCGTCGGGTTTTCACCCGCGCGGTTCACAGACCGCACATCCCCAGGCTGAGCCCTGCAACGCGGCGCGAGGCCGACAGCCCCGGCCACGGAGGAGCCACACGCAGGACGACGGAGGCGTGATTTTGGTTTCCGCGTGGCTTTGCCCTCCGCAAGGCGGCCTGTTGCTCACGTCTCTCCGGCCCCCGAAAGGCTGGCCATGCCGACTGTTTGCTCCCGGAGCTCTGCGGGCACCCGGAAACATGCAGGGAAGGGTGCAAGCCCGGCATGGTGCCTTCGCTCTCCTTGCCAGGTTCCAAACCGGCCACACTGCAGACTCCCCACGTTGCCGCACGCGGGAATCCATCGTCAGGCCATCACGCCGGGGAGGCATCTCCTCTCTGGGGTCTCGCTCTGGTCTTCTACGTGGAAATGAACGAGAGCCACACGCCTGCGTGTGCGAGACCGTCCCGGCAACGGCGACGCCCACAGGCATTGCCTCCTTCACGGAGAGAGGGCCTGGCACACTCAAGACTCCCACGGAGGTTCAGTTCCACACTCCCCTCCACCCTCCCAGGCTGGTTTCTCCCTGCTGCCGACGCGTGGGAGCCCAGAGAGCGGCTTCCCGTTCCCGCGGGATCCCTGGAGAGGTCCGGAGAGCCGGCCCCCGAAACGCGCCCCCCTCCCCCCTCCCCCCTCTCCCCCTTCCTCTTCGTCTCTCCGGCCCCACCACCACCACCGCCACCACGCCCTCCCCCACCACCCCCCCCCCCACCACCACCACCACCACCACCACCCCGCCGGCCGGCCCCAGGCCTCGACGCCCTGGGTCCCTTCCGGGGTGGGGCGGGCTGTCCCAGGGGGGCTCACCGCCATTCATGAAGGGGTGGAGCCTGCCTGCCTGTGGGCCTTTACAAGGGCGGCTGGCTGGCTGGCTGGCTGGCTGTCCGGGCAGGCCTCCTGGCTGCACCTGCCGCAGTGCACAGTCCGGCTGAGGTGCACGGGAGCCCGCCGGCCTCTCTCTGCCCGCGTCCGTCCGTGAAATTCCGGCCGGGGCTCACCGCGATGGCCCTCCCGACACCCTCGGACAGCACCCTCCCCGCGGAAGCCCGGGGACGAGGACGGCGACGGAGACTCGTTTGGACCCCGAGCCAAAGCGAGGCCCTGCGAGCCTGCTTTGAGCGGAACCCGTACCCGGGCATCGCCACCAGAGAACGGCTGGCCCAGGCCATCGGCATTCCGGAGCCCAGGGTCCAGATTTGGTTTCAGAATGAGAGGTCACGCCAGCTGAGGCAGCACCGGCGGGAATCTCGGCCCTGGCCCGGGAGACGCGGCCCGCCAGAAGGCCGGCGAAAGCGGACCGCCGTCACCGGATCCCAGACCGCCCTGCTCCTCCGAGCCTTTGAGAAGGATCGCTTTCCAGGCATCGCCGCCCGGGAGGAGCTGGCCAGAGAGACGGGCCTCCCGGAGTCCAGGATTCAGATCTGGTTTCAGAATCGAAGGGCCAGGCACCCGGGACAGGGTGGCAGGGCGCCCGCGCAGGCAGGCGGCCTGTGCAGCGCGGCCCCCGGCGGGGGTCACCCTGCTCCCTCGTGGGTCGCCTTCGCCCACACCGGCGCGTGGGGAACGGGGCTTCCCGCACCCCACGTGCCCTGCGCGCCTGGGGCTCTCCCACAGGGGGCTTTCGTGAGCCAGGCAGCGAGGGCCGCCCCCGCGCTGCAGCCCAGCCAGGCCGCGCCGGCAGAGGGGATCTCCCAACCTGCCCCGGCGCGCGGGGATTTCGCCTACGCCGCCCCGGCTCCTCCGGACGGGGCGCTCTCCCACCCTCAGGCTCCTCGGTGGCCTCCGCACCCGGGCAAAAGCCGGGAGGACCGGGACCCGCAGCGCGACGGCCTGCCGGGCCCCTGCGCGGTGGCACAGCCTGGGCCCGCTCAAGCGGGGCCGCAGGGCCAAGGGGTGCTTGCGCCACCCACGTCCCAGGGGAGTCCGTGGTGGGGCTGGGGCCGGGGTCCCCAGGTCGCCGGGGCGGCGTGGGAACCCCAAGCCGGGGCAGCTCCACCTCCCCAGCCCGCGCCCCCGGACGCCTCCGCCTCCGCGCGGCAGGGGCAGATGCAAGGCATCCCGGCGCCCTCCCAGGCGCTCCAGGAGCCGGCGCCCTGGTCTGCACTCCCCTGCGGCCTGCTGCTGGATGAGCTCCTGGCGAGCCCGGAGTTTCTGCAGCAGGCGCAACCTCTCCTAGAAACGGAGGCCCCGGGGGAGCTGGAGGCCTCGGAAGAGGCCGCCTCGCTGGAAGCACCCCTCAGCGAGGAAGAATACCGGGCTCTGCTGGAGGAGCTTTAGGACGCGGGGTTGGGACGGGGTCGGGTGGTTCGGGGCAGGGCGGTGGCCTCTCTTTCGCGGGGAACACCTGGCTGGCTACGGAGGGGCGTGTCTCCGCCCCGCCCCCTCCACCGGGCTGACCGGCCTGGGATTCCTGCCTTCTAGGTCTAGGCCCGGTGAGAGACTCCACACCGCGGAGAACTGCCATTCTTTCCTGGGCATCCCGGGGATCCCAGAGCCGGCCCAGGTACCAGCAGGTGGGCCGCCTACTGCGCACGCGCGGGTTTGCGGGCAGCCGCCTGGGCTGTGGGAGCAGCCCGGGCAGAGCTCTCCTGCCTCTCCACCAGCCCACCCCGCCGCCTGACCGCCCCCTCCCCACCCCCACCCCCCACCCCCGGAAAACGCGTCGTCCCCTGGGCTGGGTGGAGACCCCCGTCCCGCGAAACACCTGGCCCCGCGCAGCGTCCGGGCCTGACACCGCTCCGGCGGCTCGCCTCCTCTGCGCCCCCGCGCCACCGTCGCCCGCCCGCCCGGGCCCCTGCAGCCGCCCAGGTGCCAGCACGGAGCGCCTGGCGGCGGAACGCAGACCCCAGGCCCGGCGCACACCGGGGACGCTGAGCGTTCCAGGCGGGAGGGAAGGCGGGCAGAGATGGAGAGAGGAACGGGAGACCTAGAGGGGCGGAAGGACGGGCGGAGGGACGTTAGGAGGGAGGGAGGGAGGCAGGGAGGCAGGGAGGAACGGAGGGAAAGACAGAGCGACGCGGGGACTGGGGGCGGGCGGGAGGGAGCCGGGGACGGACGGGGGGAGGAAGGCAGGGAGGAAAAGCGGTCCTCGGCCTCCGGGAGTAGCGGGACCCCCGCCCTCCGGGAAAACGGTCAGCGTCCGGCGCGGGCTGAGGGCTGGGCCCACAGCCGCCGCGCCGGCCGGCGGGGCACCACCCATTCGCCCCGGTTCCGGGGCCCAGGGAGTGGGCGGTTTCCTCCGGGACAAAAGACCGGGACTCGGGTTGCCGTCGGGTTTTCACCCGCGCGGTTCACAGACCGCACATCCCCAGGCTGAGCCCTGCAACGCGGCGCGAGGCCGACAGCCCCGGCCACGGAGGAGCCACACGCAGGACGACGGAGGCGTGATTTTGGTTTCCGCGTGGCTTTGCCCTCCGCAAGGCGGCCTGTTGCTCACGTCTCTCCGGCCCCCGAAAGGCTGGCCATGCCGACTGTTTGCTCCCGGAGCTCTGCGGGCACCCGGAAACATGCAGGGAAGGGTGCAAGCCCGGCATGGTGCCTTCGCTCTCCTTGCCAGGTTCCAAACCGGCCACACTGCAGACTCCCCACGTTGCCGCACGCGGGAATCCATCGTCAGGCCATCACGCCGGGGAGGCATCTCCTCTCTGGGGTCTCGCTCTGGTCTTCTACGTGGAAATGAACGAGAGCCACACGCCTGCGTGTGCGAGACCGTCCCGGCAACGGCGACGCCCACAGGCATTGCCTCCTTCACGGAGAGAGGGCCTGGCACACTCAAGACTCCCACGGAGGTTCAGTTCCACACTCCCCTCCACCCTCCCAGGCTGGTTTCTCCCTGCTGCCGACGCGTGGGAGCCCAGAGAGCGGCTTCCCGTTCCCGCGGGATCCCTGGAGAGGTCCGGAGAGCCGGCCCCCGAAACGCGCCCCCCTCCCCCCTCCCCCCTCTCCCCCTTCCTCTTCGTCTCTCCGGCCCCACCACCACCACCGCCACCACGCCCTCCCCCACCACCCCCCCCCCCACCACCACCACCACCACCACCACCCCGCCGGCCGGCCCCAGGCCTCGACGCCCTGGGTCCCTTCCGGGGTGGGGCGGGCTGTCCCAGGGGGGCTCACCGCCATTCATGAAGGGGTGGAGCCTGCCTGCCTGTGGGCCTTTACAAGGGCGGCTGGCTGGCTGGCTGGCTGGCTGTCCGGGCAGGCCTCCTGGCTGCACCTGCCGCAGTGCACAGTCCGGCTGAGGTGCACGGGAGCCCGCCGGCCTCTCTCTGCCCGCGTCCGTCCGTGAAATTCCGGCCGGGGCTCACCGCGATGGCCCTCCCGACACCCTCGGACAGCACCCTCCCCGCGGAAGCCCGGGGACGAGGACGGCGACGGAGACTCGTTTGGACCCCGAGCCAAAGCGAGGCCCTGCGAGCCTGCTTTGAGCGGAACCCGTACCCGGGCATCGCCACCAGAGAACGGCTGGCCCAGGCCATCGGCATTCCGGAGCCCAGGGTCCAGATTTGGTTTCAGAATGAGAGGTCACGCCAGCTGAGGCAGCACCGGCGGGAATCTCGGCCCTGGCCCGGGAGACGCGGCCCGCCAGAAGGCCGGCGAAAGCGGACCGCCGTCACCGGATCCCAGACCGCCCTGCTCCTCCGAGCCTTTGAGAAGGATCGCTTTCCAGGCATCGCCGCCCGGGAGGAGCTGGCCAGAGAGACGGGCCTCCCGGAGTCCAGGATTCAGATCTGGTTTCAGAATCGAAGGGCCAGGCACCCGGGACAGGGTGGCAGGGCGCCCGCGCAGGCAGGCGGCCTGTGCAGCGCGGCCCCCGGCGGGGGTCACCCTGCTCCCTCGTGGGTCGCCTTCGCCCACACCGGCGCGTGGGGAACGGGGCTTCCCGCACCCCACGTGCCCTGCGCGCCTGGGGCTCTCCCACAGGGGGCTTTCGTGAGCCAGGCAGCGAGGGCCGCCCCCGCGCTGCAGCCCAGCCAGGCCGCGCCGGCAGAGGGGATCTCCCAACCTGCCCCGGCGCGCGGGGATTTCGCCTACGCCGCCCCGGCTCCTCCGGACGGGGCGCTCTCCCACCCTCAGGCTCCTCGGTGGCCTCCGCACCCGGGCAAAAGCCGGGAGGACCGGGACCCGCAGCGCGACGGCCTGCCGGGCCCCTGCGCGGTGGCACAGCCTGGGCCCGCTCAAGCGGGGCCGCAGGGCCAAGGGGTGCTTGCGCCACCCACGTCCCAGGGGAGTCCGTGGTGGGGCTGGGGCCGGGGTCCCCAGGTCGCCGGGGCGGCGTGGGAACCCCAAGCCGGGGCAGCTCCACCTCCCCAGCCCGCGCCCCCGGACGCCTCCGCCTCCGCGCGGCAGGGGCAGATGCAAGGCATCCCGGCGCCCTCCCAGGCGCTCCAGGAGCCGGCGCCCTGGTCTGCACTCCCCTGCGGCCTGCTGCTGGATGAGCTCCTGGCGAGCCCGGAGTTTCTGCAGCAGGCGCAACCTCTCCTAGAAACGGAGGCCCCGGGGGAGCTGGAGGCCTCGGAAGAGGCCGCCTCGCTGGAAGCACCCCTCAGCGAGGAAGAATACCGGGCTCTGCTGGAGGAGCTTTAGGACGCGGGGTTGGGACGGGGTCGGGTGGTTCGGGGCAGGGCGGTGGCCTCTCTTTCGCGGGGAACACCTGGCTGGCTACGGAGGGGCGTGTCTCCGCCCCGCCCCCTCCACCGGGCTGACCGGCCTGGGATTCCTGCCTTCTAGGTCTAGGCCCGGTGAGAGACTCCACACCGCGGAGAACTGCCATTCTTTCCTGGGCATCCCGGGGATCCCAGAGCCGGCCCAGGTACCAGCAGGTGGGCCGCCTACTGCGCACGCGCGGGTTTGCGGGCAGCCGCCTGGGCTGTGGGAGCAGCCCGGGCAGAGCTCTCCTGCCTCTCCACCAGCCCACCCCGCCGCCTGACCGCCCCCTCCCCACCCCCACCCCCCACCCCCGGAAAACGCGTCGTCCCCTGGGCTGGGTGGAGACCCCCGTCCCGCGAAACACCTGGCCCCGCGCAGCGTCCGGGCCTGACACCGCTCCGGCGGCTCGCCTCCTCTGCGCCCCCGCGCCACCGTCGCCCGCCCGCCCGGGCCCCTGCAGCCGCCCAGGTGCCAGCACGGAGCGCCTGGCGGCGGAACGCAGACCCCAGGCCCGGCGCACACCGGGGACGCTGAGCGTTCCAGGCGGGAGGGAAGGCGGGCAGAGATGGAGAGAGGAACGGGAGACCTAGAGGGGCGGAAGGACGGGCGGAGGGACGTTAGGAGGGAGGGAGGGAGGCAGGGAGGCAGGGAGGAACGGAGGGAAAGACAGAGCGACGCGGGGACTGGGGGCGGGCGGGAGGGAGCCGGGGACGGACGGGGGGAGGAAGGCAGGGAGGAAAAGCGGTCCTCGGCCTCCGGGAGTAGCGGGACCCCCGCCCTCCGGGAAAACGGTCAGCGTCCGGCGCGGGCTGAGGGCTGGGCCCACAGCCGCCGCGCCGGCCGGCGGGGCACCACCCATTCGCCCCGGTTCCGGGGCCCAGGGAGTGGGCGGTTTCCTCCGGGACAAAAGACCGGGACTCGGGTTGCCGTCGGGTTTTCACCCGCGCGGTTCACAGACCGCACATCCCCAGGCTGAGCCCTGCAACGCGGCGCGAGGCCGACAGCCCCGGCCACGGAGGAGCCACACGCAGGACGACGGAGGCGTGATTTTGGTTTCCGCGTGGCTTTGCCCTCCGCAAGGCGGCCTGTTGCTCACGTCTCTCCGGCCCCCGAAAGGCTGGCCATGCCGACTGTTTGCTCCCGGAGCTCTGCGGGCACCCGGAAACATGCAGGGAAGGGTGCAAGCCCGGCATGGTGCCTTCGCTCTCCTTGCCAGGTTCCAAACCGGCCACACTGCAGACTCCCCACGTTGCCGCACGCGGGAATCCATCGTCAGGCCATCACGCCGGGGAGGCATCTCCTCTCTGGGGTCTCGCTCTGGTCTTCTACGTGGAAATGAACGAGAGCCACACGCCTGCGTGTGCGAGACCGTCCCGGCAACGGCGACGCCCACAGGCATTGCCTCCTTCACGGAGAGAGGGCCTGGCACACTCAAGACTCCCACGGAGGTTCAGTTCCACACTCCCCTCCACCCTCCCAGGCTGGTTTCTCCCTGCTGCCGACGCGTGGGAGCCCAGAGAGCGGCTTCCCGTTCCCGCGGGATCCCTGGAGAGGTCCGGAGAGCCGGCCCCCGAAACGCGCCCCCCTCCCCCCTCCCCCCTCTCCCCCTTCCTCTTCGTCTCTCCGGCCCCACCACCACCACCGCCACCACGCCCTCCCCCACCACCCCCCCCCCCACCACCACCACCACCACCACCACCCCGCCGGCCGGCCCCAGGCCTCGACGCCCTGGGTCCCTTCCGGGGTGGGGCGGGCTGTCCCAGGGGGGCTCACCGCCATTCATGAAGGGGTGGAGCCTGCCTGCCTGTGGGCCTTTACAAGGGCGGCTGGCTGGCTGGCTGGCTGGCTGTCCGGGCAGGCCTCCTGGCTGCACCTGCCGCAGTGCACAGTCCGGCTGAGGTGCACGGGAGCCCGCCGGCCTCTCTCTGCCCGCGTCCGTCCGTGAAATTCCGGCCGGGGCTCACCGCGATGGCCCTCCCGACACCCTCGGACAGCACCCTCCCCGCGGAAGCCCGGGGACGAGGACGGCGACGGAGACTCGTTTGGACCCCGAGCCAAAGCGAGGCCCTGCGAGCCTGCTTTGAGCGGAACCCGTACCCGGGCATCGCCACCAGAGAACGGCTGGCCCAGGCCATCGGCATTCCGGAGCCCAGGGTCCAGATTTGGTTTCAGAATGAGAGGTCACGCCAGCTGAGGCAGCACCGGCGGGAATCTCGGCCCTGGCCCGGGAGACGCGGCCCGCCAGAAGGCCGGCGAAAGCGGACCGCCGTCACCGGATCCCAGACCGCCCTGCTCCTCCGAGCCTTTGAGAAGGATCGCTTTCCAGGCATCGCCGCCCGGGAGGAGCTGGCCAGAGAGACGGGCCTCCCGGAGTCCAGGATTCAGATCTGGTTTCAGAATCGAAGGGCCAGGCACCCGGGACAGGGTGGCAGGGCGCCCGCGCAGGCAGGCGGCCTGTGCAGCGCGGCCCCCGGCGGGGGTCACCCTGCTCCCTCGTGGGTCGCCTTCGCCCACACCGGCGCGTGGGGAACGGGGCTTCCCGCACCCCACGTGCCCTGCGCGCCTGGGGCTCTCCCACAGGGGGCTTTCGTGAGCCAGGCAGCGAGGGCCGCCCCCGCGCTGCAGCCCAGCCAGGCCGCGCCGGCAGAGGGGATCTCCCAACCTGCCCCGGCGCGCGGGGATTTCGCCTACGCCGCCCCGGCTCCTCCGGACGGGGCGCTCTCCCACCCTCAGGCTCCTCGCTGGCCTCCGCACCCGGGCAAAAGCCGGGAGGACCGGGACCCGCAGCGCGACGGCCTGCCGGGCCCCTGCGCGGTGGCACAGCCTGGGCCCGCTCAAGCGGGGCCGCAGGGCCAAGGGGTGCTTGCGCCACCCACGTCCCAGGGGAGTCCGTGGTGGGGCTGGGGCCGGGGTCCCCAGGTCGCCGGGGCGGCGTGGGAACCCCAAGCCGGGGCAGCTCCACCTCCCCAGCCCGCGCCCCCGGACGCCTCCGCCTCCGCGCGGCAGGGGCAGATGCAAGGCATCCCGGCGCCCTCCCAGGCGCTCCAGGANCCGGCGCCCTGGTCTGCANTCCCCTGCGGCCTGCTGCTGGATGAGCTCCTGGCGAGCCCGGAGTTTCTGCAGCAGGCGCAACCTCTCCTAGAAACGGAGGCCCCGGGGGAGCTGGAGGCCTCGGAAGAGGCCGCCTCGCTGGAAGCACCCCTCAGCGAGGAAGAATACCGGGCTCTGCTGGAGGAGCTTTAGGACGCGGGGTTGGGACGGGGTCGGGTGGTTCGGGGCAGGGCCGTGGCCTCTCTTTCGCGGGGAACACCTGGCTGGCTACGGAGGGGCGTGTCTCCGCCCCGCCCCCTCCACCGGGCTGACCGGCCTGGGATTCCTGCCTTCTAGGTCTAGGCCCGGTGAGAGACTCCACACCGCGGAGAACTGCCATTCTTTCCTGGGCATCCCGGGGATCCCAGAGCCGGCCCAGGTACCAGCAGGTGGGCCGCCTACTGCGCACGCGCGGGTTTGCGGGCAGCCGCCTGGGCTGTGGGAGCAGCCCGGGCAGAGCTCTCCTGCCTCTCCACCAGCCCACCCCGCCGCCTGACCGCCCCCTCCCCACCCCCACCCCCCACCCCCGGAAAACGCGTCGTCCCCTGGGCTGGGTGGAGACCCCCGTCCCGCGAAACACCGGGCCCCGCGCAGCGTCCGGGCCTGACACCGCTCCGGCGGCTCGCCTCCTCTGCGCCCCCGCGCCACCGTCGCCCGCCCGCCCGGGCCCCTGCAGCCGCCCAGGTGCCAGCACGGAGCGCCTGGCGGCGGAACGCAGACCCCAGGCCCGGCGCACACCGGGGACGCTGAGCGTTCCAGGCGGGAGGGAAGGCGGGCAGAGATGGAGAGAGGAACGGGAGACCTAGAGGGGCGGAAGGACGGGCGGAGGGACNTTAGGAGGGAGGGAGGGAGGCAGGGAGGCAGGGAGGAACGGAGGGAAAGACAGAGCGACGCAGGGACTGGGGGCGGGCGGGAGGGAGCCGGGGACGGACGGGGGGAGGAAGGCAGGGAGGAAAAGCGGTCCTCGGCCTCCGGGAGTAGCGGGACCCCCGCCCTCCGGGAAAACGGTCAGCGTCCGGCGCGGGCTGAGGGCTGGGCCCACAGCCGCCGCGCCGGCCGGCGGGGCACCACCCATTCGCCCCGGTTCCGGGGCCCAGGGAGTGGGCGGTTTCCTCCGGGACAAAAGACCGGGACTCGGGTTGCCGTCGGGTCTTCACCCGCGCGGTTCACAGACCGCACATCCCCAGGCTGAGCCCTGCAACGCGGCGCGAGGCCGACAGCCCCGGCCACGGAGGAGCCACACGCAGGACGACGGAGGCGTGATTTTGGTTTCCGCGTGGCTTTGCCCTCCGCAAGGCGGCCTGTTGCTCACGTCTCTCCGGCCCCCGAAAGGCTGGCCATGCCGACTGTTTGCTCCCGGAGCTCTGCGGGCACCCGGAAACATGCAGGGAAGGGTGCAAGCCCGGCACGGTGCCTTCGCTCTCCTTGCCAGGTTCCAAACCGGCCACACTGCAGACTCCCCACGTTGCCGCACGCGGGAATCCATCGTCAGGCCATCACGCCGGGGAGGCATCTCCTCTCTGGGGTCTCGCTCTGGTCTTCTACGTGGAAATGAACGAGAGCCACACGCCTGCGTGTGCGAGACCGTCCCGGCAACGGCGACGCCCACAGGCATTGCCTCCTTCACGGAGAGAGGGCCTGGCACACTCAAGACTCCCACGGAGGTTCAGTTCCACACTCCCCTCCACCCTCCCAGGCTGGTTTCTCCCTGCTGCCGACGCGTGGGAGCCCAGAGAGCGGCTTCCCGTTCCCGCGGGATCCCTGGAGAGGTCCGGAGAGCCGGCCCCCGAAACGCGCCCCCCTCCCCCCTCCCCCCTCTCCCCGTTCCTCTTCGTCTCTCCGGCCCCACCACCACCACCGCCACCACGCCCTCCCCCCCCACCCCCCCCCCCCACCACCACCACCACCACCACCCCGCCGGCCGGCCCCAGGCCTCGACGCCCTGGGTCCCTTCCGGGGTGGGGCGGGCTGTCCCAGGGGGGCTCACCGCCATTCATGAAGGGGTGGAGCCTGCCTGCCTGTGGGCCTTTACAAGGGCGGCTGGCTGGCTGGCTGGCTGTCCGGGCAGGCCCCCTGGCTGCACCTGCCGCAGTGCACAGTCCGGCTGAGGTGCACGGGAGCCCGCCGGCCTCTCTCTGCCCGCGTCCGTCCGTGAAATTCCGGCCGGGGCTCACCGCGATGGCCCTCCCGACACCCTCGGACAGCACCCTCCCCGCGGAAGCCCGGGGACGAGGACGGCGACGGAGACTCGTTTGGACCCCGAGCCAAAGCGAGGCCCTGCGAGCCTGCAGCCTCCCAGCTGCCAGCGCGGAGCTCCTGGCGGTCAAAAGCATACCTCTGTCTGTCTTTGCCCGCTTCCTGGCTAGACCTGCGCGCAGTGCGCACCCCGGCTGACGTGCAAGGGAGCTCGCTGGCCTCTCTGTGCCCTTGTTCTTCCGTGAAATTCTGGCTGAATGTCTCCCCCCACCTTCCGACGCTGTCTAGGCAAACCTGGATTAGAGTTACATCTCCTGGATGATTAGTTCAGAGATATATTAAAATGCCCCCTCCCTGTGGATCCTATAGAAGATTTGCATCTTTTGTGTGATGAGTGCAGAGATATGTCACAATATCCCCTGTAGAAAAAGCCTGAAATTGGTTTACATAACTTCGGTGATCAGTGCAGATGTGTTTCAGAACTCCATAGTAGACTGAACCTAGAGAATGGTTACATCACTTAGGTGATCAGTGTAGAGATATGTTAAAATTCTCGTGTAGACAGAGCCTAGACAATTGTTACATCACCTAGTGATCAGTGCAGGGATAAGTCATAAAGCCTCCTGTAGGCAGAGTGTAGGCAAGTGTTCCCTCCCTGGGCTGATCAGTGCAGAGATATCTCACAAAGCCCCTATAAGCCAAACCTTGACAAGGGTTACATCACCTGTTTGAGCAGTGGAAATATATATCACAAAGCCCCCTGTAGACAAAGCCCAGACAATTTTTACATCTCCTGAGTGAGCATTGGAGAGATCTGTCACAATGCCCCTGTAGGCAGAGCTTAGACAAGTGTTACATCACCTGGGTGATCAGTGCAGAGATATGTCAAAACGCTCCTGTAGTCTGAACCTAGACAGGAGTTACATCACCTTGGGGATCAGTGCAGAGATACGTGAGAATTCCCGTGTAGGCAGAGCCTAGACAAGTGTTACATCACCTAGTTTATCAGTGTAATTATTAGTCATAAAGCCTCCTGTAGGCAGAGCGTAGACAAGAGTTCCCTCCTCAGGGTGATCAGTGCAGAGATGTGTCACAAAGCCCCTGTAGGCAGAGCCTAGACAAGAGTTTCATCACTTGGTTGATCAGTTCAGAGATGTGTCAGAATGCCCATGTAGGCAGATCTAAGACAAGCGTCCATCACCTGGGTGATCAGTGCAGAGATATGTACCAGTGTCCCCTGTAGGCAGTGCCTAGACAAGAGTTGAATCACCTCAGAGATCAGTGCATAGATATGTCACAAAGCCTTCTGTAGGCAAAGCCCATACAAGGTTTAGATCACCTAGGTGATCAGTGCAGTGATATGTCACAAAAATCCCTGTAGACAGAGCCTAGACAAGAGTTACTTCACCTGGGTGATCAGTGCAGATATTTGACACAATGCCCCCATAGACAGAG
This sequence comes from Homo sapiens, assembly GCF_000001405.40. Lineage (NCBI taxonomy): Eukaryota > Metazoa > Chordata > Mammalia > Primates > Hominidae > Homo > Homo sapiens. The sequence goes on from NW_015495301.1 coordinate 204,995, forward strand.
CCTAGGCAAGACTTCCATCACCTGGGTGATCAGTGCAGAGATATGTCACAAATCCCCCTCTAGGCAGAGTATAGAGAAGAGTCCCATCACCTGGGTGATCAGTGCAGAGATATTTCACAATGCCCCCTGTAGGCAGAGAGTGGACAAGAGTTACATCACCTAGATGATCTGTGCAGAGCTATGTCAAAACGCCCCTGTAGGCAGAGCCTAGATGAGTGTTACATCACCTGGGTGATCATTGCAGAGATACGTCACAATACCCCCTGTAGGTGGGGCCTAGACAAGAGTTACATTCACCTGGGTGATCAGTACAGAAGTATGTCACAAAGCCCCTGTAGGCAGAGCCTAGACAAGAGTTACATCACCTGGGTTATCAGTGCAGAAATATGTCACAAAGCCCCTGTAGGTCTAGA